>NC_000012.12:44732855-44884370 GCF_000001405.40 Homo sapiens
AAACAAATAACCCAATTAAAAACTGGGCAAAGGATTTGAATAGGCATTTCTCCAAAAAAGATATATAAATGGCCAATAGGTATATGAATAGATCCTTAACATCACTAATTATCAGAAAAATGCAAATCAAAACTGCAATGCAACATCACCTCACATCTGCTAGGATTGTCATTACCAAAAACAAACAAATATAAACAAAAACAGAAAATAACAAGTGTTGGCAAGGATGTAGAGAAACTGGAAACTGTTGCTGGGAATGTAAATGTGCAGACTCCACAGAAAACAGCATAGAGGTTCCTCAAAAAATTGAAAATAAAACTACCATATGCTCCAGTTATCCCACTTGTGTGTATTTTTCCATCACAATTGAAATAAGAATCTCAAAGAGATTTTTGTGCTCCCATGTTCACTGCAGCATCATTTGCAATAGCCAAGAGGTGGAAACAACCTAAGTGTCCACTGATGGATGAATAAATAAAGAAAATGTAGTATATACATACAATGGAATATTATTTAGCCTTTAAAATGAAGGAAATCATGTCATATGCTACAACATGGATGAATCTTGAGAACATTAAGCTAAGTGAAATAAGTCAGTAACAACAGGAGAAATACTGCATGAACCCAATTAACATGAGGTATGCAAAGGGGTCAAAATCATCCAAGCAGAAAACAGAGTGATGGTTTCCAGGCGCTAGGAGGAGAAGAAAATAAGGAGTTTCTATTCAATGGTTATAGAGTTTCAGTCATGAAAGATGAGAAAGTCCTAGATGTCTGCTGTACATCAATGTGCATATAGTTAACAATACTGTATTGTACACTTATATTAAGAGGGCAGATTTCATATTATGTGTTTTTTATCCAAAAATAAAAAAGAAAGAAAGGCAAGCAAGGAAGTAGGGAAGGAAGGGAGGAAGGAAGGAAAGAAGGAATGAAATGAATGAATTATAGTATGGAATGTTCTAGCATCTACTGCCACTGATTTCTAGTTTAATTGTATTGTGGTCATACAGCATACTCTGTATAATTTCAGTTCTTTGAAATTTGTTGAAATGAGCTTTATGGCACAGCATAAAATCAGTATTTATAAATATTCCATGGGTGCTTAAAGGCTTATGTAAGCTGCACAGTAGGGTATAATGGTCTAAATATGTTTATTAGGTTTGGACATTTAATCACATTCAAGTGCTCCGTTTGCCTAATAATTATTTTGTGTGCTCATAGTCTATCAATTACTACAACTTTACTCTATGTATTTGTCTATTGTTCCTTGTAATTCTGTCAATTTTCTTAAATCTATTTTGAGGCTATATTATTAGGTAAATGCAAGTTCAAATTGCTAGGTCCTCCTAGTAATTTTAAATTTTATAATTATTAAGTAATTCTAGTAATGCCTTTTTTGTCTTAAAATCTACTTTGATTTTTCAGGGAAAAATACCTTTCTTTTGCATGGTCTATATTTTACTGCTCTTTCACTTTCAACCTTTCTGTATTATTATATTTTAAATGGGTATCTTTTAAACAGTTTAGAGCTGAGTTTCATTAATTCAGTTTCAAAATAAATATTTTGAATGTTTAGTCTATGTATATTTAGTCTATGTATATTTAACAACAAATATATTCAATTTTTAAATAAACTGTCTTATTTTGTGCTTTCTCTTTTTCTGCCTATGCTGTTGATTTTTGTCCCCCCTGCTTTTACTTATTTTGAATTAATCATTTTTTGCTCATTCAATTTTCCCCTACACTCAGTAGTTTAGAAATTTAACACTCTTTTCTTAAATAATAAAAAATTAAGTTTAGTCAATAACTTTAGGGTCCTTTGGGATAATAGAAGCGTCTTAAAATATTTTAACATATTTATTCTCCCTACTATAATGTTATTGTTGTATTTTTAAATTTCTATACATTTTCTAAATTCTGTAAGATTATGAGGATAATGGTAATTATATCTTATTCTATCAATACTCATTTAGGTTTACTCACTATTTATAACTAATTTTTTCAGCTTTTTACTTTTTAGAAATTATTTTTCTTTATTTCATTCTTGAAGGATATTCTTATTAAGCATAGATTTCAAGCTCAGAAGCCATTTTCCTTCCATATATTGAGGAAGGGATGGAACTACTCCCTTCTGGTTTCAACTGTTGAAAAGTTAGTATGATTAGTCTATTCATTATTCCTTTGAAGTTAATATTGCCTTTGGCTCCTATTTAGACTTTTTTGTCTTCAATTTTTCTGAATGTTCACTTTACCGTGTCTAGATCTCATGTCTTCCTGTTCCTTGAAGATATACTGATTTATCTTACTTAATGAGCACACTTGTATTATATTAACTGTTGGTTAATTCTAATTTGACATTTTTGTAGTCTGTTTCTGTTGTCTGTTGTTTCTGCCAGTTTTCATCCTACAGTTTTGTTTCCTTGGATGCCTAGTAGTAGTAAAAAGAAACCATATTTCTAAAAGTAACTTGAGGTCTAGGATAAAGATAGATTTCTCCAGGAAGAATGTTTATTATCCTTCACCAAAGGCATAATACATAAATGTAAATGAAATCCAAGGCTTGAGTCTCCCTGAAAAACCAAGATAACTGCTGCCTAGGCTTTATATCCATGCAACATCTTGTTTACTCCTAACTTGCCCTTATCATGAAGGTATCTGGTTTTGGAATTCCAGCTTATTGTGATGAGGGTCTGTTGAATGCTTCCTCCTACTATAGGTTCTTCGCTTTTGTTTCTGTCCCCTTTGCCCCAGAAATTTATCAAAAGAAAAGCTGAAATTTTCAAGGAAGAAGAAAAGACCCTCATAGCAAAAGCAGTTCCACTGATTTTTTTCACTGTATTCTATTTTCTAGGTTTCTCTTTGGTTTTGGTCTGAGAATCCCTTGCTATTATTTTTATCATTTAAACTATTTTAAGAATTTTAAAAAATATTTTTATCCTCCTTTGTTAGTTGCTTTCAGAAGAATGTGGTTCAAATAACTTAGCTTTTATGCAAAATAAGAAATTCCATTCTTAATTTTCATCTTTTTAATTAATTGAAAATAGAAGACTATAACACTTTATTGGTGAAAACTAAGAGACTCAAAGTTCAGGTTAATAAGTAATAAAAATGTAAGTCAATTAAAATTAAAAACAAGCAGTTAATTCTTTTTTTTTTTTTTTTTTTTTTTTCTGACGGAGTTTCGCTCTGTTGCCCAGGCTGGAGCGCAGTGGCGCGATCTTGACTCACTGCAAGCTCCGCCTCCCGGGTTCACGCCATTCTCCTGCCTCAGCCTCCCGAGTAGCTGGGACTACAGGCGCGCGCCACCATGCCCGGCTAATTTTTGTATTTTTAGTAGAGACGGGGTTTCACCGTGTCAGCCAGGATGGTCTCAATCTCCTGACCTCGTGATCCGCCCGTCTCGGCCTCCCAAAGTGCTGGGATTACAGGCGTGAGCCACCGCGCCCGGCCTTCTTTATTTTTTTAAAAAAAGCATTGGGTAACTCTGTTAAAGAGTTGCTAAAACAAAAATATTCTAGAGCCCTGCCAAGGCCCTGCTACACAGAAACTGCAAGGCAAAGACTAAGATTCTAGCATTCTAAAGGGCAAAGTAGACACTAACAGTAGACTAAATAGTCGTCAATATAAAATATATGTATAATTGACCTTGCTTAATCAAAAAAAAAAAGACAGAAGTCATGAGTAAACATCAGAATTGTACATATGTGCTTTCTTAATGAAGCCAGGCTTTGCTAACATGTGGCTCTGAAAAATTCAACAATATACTGAACGAAACCAGAAAAGAAGTTATCCCCAAATGTTTACTATTGGAAATCAATTCAACTAGTTGTAACTATGTAAATTAAACTTTAAATTCAATAATTATACTGTTAATATTTTACAAAGAATATTTGAAAATAATTTTATATAAGAATTATAGAATCAGTAAAGGTCTGACCTACATTTAGTCTCCCTCATGAAGTTAAAAGACAAATTATACATCGTGTAATACTGCCTTCAAACCTATATATGCAAGCATAAATTTAATTTTTATTAAAAATAATAGAAAATTTCCTAATTTATTTTATAAATGTATGCATTTATGTGACTATCACAATGTAAATATTCTCGTATTTGTTTACTCATTGATCTGATTTACTGTCCTGATTTATTTTCAGTGCTGTAGTTACATAAAAATATTATTTTTAGATATTGAAATTTTATCAAAATATTGATAGGTAATATTTTTCTATTTTGTAAAAATTATGTAAAAATTCAAAATAAATACCACATACTATATTAAAATTGGTACTTTTCTAATATTCAGAGTGAAGTTGCTCAGATTAAGATAAAGTATGTTTAATTTTTGAGTATTTTATTTTGCTATAAGTCCCTCATGTCTAGCTGCTAAATAACCATTTTCTTGGTCATGCATAATTGATCAGAATAAAGCAGTATTGCCATTGTATTCATTGGGACAAACAGTCTCAACATGCACACATTTAGTTCACAATCAATAACTTTTTTATAATAAACAAAAAACTTGTTTGTTCTTAGTTGATAAAATTATGCCTCTTTAATAGGCAGATTTCTCATTTGTTTGCCTGCTCCTCCCAAATTCCTTTCTCATTTTTCATGCAACAAATCTCTAAGAATATTATTAGTGTTATTTTAATTCGAAATCATTTCTTTTTCTGTAATTGGTTTTTGCCACATACTTCTTATTGCTCTGTAATAATCCCCCCATGGTAAATACATAAGTCCAGCTCTCAGAGTATTGTTACATGGCCACACAACAATTGTGATCAACCTGCATCATTAAATGAGTATTGGCCCACAGAGAATCATTCTTCCACTTTCTATTGGTCATTATACGTGGGTTTTGCTCTTCATTAATTCCATATTGTCATTTAATTATTAAACTAAGTCTTCCTCTCCATTCTGCATACCTTCCCCTGGTATCCAACCAAGAGAGAATTCTTGTTCTTAAGGCCCTCATGATCTAATTAAAACCCAGATAAAATGAGAACTAAAGGGCAAACGGTTGGCTGCAAAAAAAAAAAATGTATGACAGACTACAGATTAACAAGGTAAAAATACAGACCAGCTGCTGAGAGACTAAATAAGGAAGTCACAGAAACTAGTTGGTACTTGTCAAGGAAGACTTCATAAAGAACAAATGAAGTTCTAATTTACTCTGATTCCTTTGAGAAGCCCTCCCTGATTTCCCAAAATAAAGGAAGTTTTCTCTGCTCTATGAACCCACAGCACTTGAACATATCTCTAACACGGCACTCAGCCATTATATTGTAGTCTATTGCCCCTCAGTAACTAAAAACTTACTGAGAAGAACTATATTATTGTGTTCATATCTCAAACAAGTAACCAAGTGCCTCAATCACAAGTGTTTTCTCAGTGAATAAAAGTGTCATCAGAACATAGATCTAGCAATACCACTTCTAGATATATATACAAAAGATATGAAATCAATCTCTCAAAGAATATGCACTCCTATGTTCACTGCAGCAGTATTCATAATAGCCAAGATACAGAAACATGGAAACAACCTAAGTGTCTGTTGACAGATAATTGGATTTTAAAAATGTGATTACATACACACAATGGAATATTATTTATCTTAAAAAAAAAAAAAGAAAATCCTGTTTGAGACAAGATGGATGAACCTGGAGGACATTATGCTAAGTGAAATATGCCAGACACTGAAAGACAAATCCTGCATAGTCTCACTTATATGTGGAAACTAAAAAAGTCAAACTCATAGAAGCAAAGACTAGAACCATAGATGCCATGGGCCGTGGTCAGGGGGAAGGAGAGGAATGAAAGGATGTTGGTCAAAGGATACAAACTTTCAGTTATATGATGAATAAGTTCTGGAGATCTAATGTACAGCATGGTGACTATAGTTAATAATAACGTATTGTATACTTGAAACGTGCTAAGAAAGTAGATCCTAAGTTTTCTGATCATAAAAAGGTAAATATGTGAGGTGACAAGTTAATAAGCTGAATTAGTGAATCATTTTGCAATGTATACATGTATCTATATTTTTAATTTTAAAAAAGTGCTACCTCCCACTCATGGACTATAAAGATTCAGACATATTGGAATTTAAAGTCCAAACTCTTTATGGCTTTGAGGCTTTATCCCTCTTTCTAGAATGATTTCCTCCACCACCATTCACACACATCCATACACACACATACATATTTTCCATATTCATCCTTCTGATCTTAAATGTTACTTTTTTAGACAAAGTCTTCTTGAATTCCAGTGTAAATTAAGTCCCAAGGGTTGCCTCTCATAGCATCTTAGACTTTTCCTATATTGCCCTTACCATAATTTGCAATAATTCGTGTGTGTGTATGTATGTATCCTTTACCACCAAACCAAGGTAGAAAATGAAAAATACAAACAAGGGCCTGTGGGATTTTTCCAAAAGTAGTTTCAGAGAAAAAAAATTACTATCTATACATCTAAATGGTATGAAATGTGAAGTTTCTAGCACATGTACAAATAGCTAGATTAGAATTTCTTTAGTCAAAATAGCTTGTAGTGGCCCCGGGAATTGACTCAGTGGTTGACAAACTATGACCCAGAAGCCAAATCTATCCACCACCAGTTTTGTACAGGCTTGTGGCTAAGAATAGCTCCATATCTTAAAATGGTTGGAAAAAATTAAAAGAAGAGTATTTTATGATGTAAAATTATATTATAGAAAATTCAAATTTCAGTAACAATAAACATAGTTTTAGCCAGGCACAGAGGCTCATGCCTGTAATCTCAGCAAGTTGGGAGGCCAAGGTGAGTGGATCACTTGAGGTCAGCAGTTCGGGACCAGCCTGGCCAACATGGTGAAACCTCATCTCTAATAAAAATACAAAAATTAGCTGGGTGTGGTGGCAGGCACCTGTAATCACAGCTACTCAGGAGACTGAGGCAGGAGAATCCCTTGAACTGGGAAGTGGAGGCTGCAGTGAGCCAAGATTGCGCGACTGCACTCCAGCATGGGTGACACAGCAAGACTCCATCTTAAAACACAACAACAACAAAAAAAACATGGTTTTATTAGAAGACCGCATGATCATTCATTTTCATTTTCATATCATTTGTGGCTGCTTTCATGCTATAAAGACAGAGTTTAGTGGCTACAATACAAACCATGTGGCATGCAAGACCAAAAATACTTATTGTCTCGCCCTTTACAGAACAAACGTACATACCACTATTCCACCCAAATTATTATTACAGGCAAAACATAGTAATCCAGTTCCCTTTGGTAATGACTGTCTGAGTTATGGGCGTGTGACCCAATTCTGGCCAATGAGAAATGAAGAGAAACCTGTGAGGCAACTTCTCAGAGATGCTTTCTTGCTTTTAAGAACGACGTACAGATACGTACAGTATATCAGATGATATACTGATGTTTCCTTTATTACTCTGGGTGTACTTGTATCTGGATATAATTCCTATAATTGTTATACCAGCACACAGAGGAGGGCAGAAAAAAGGGAAGCAAAGAGAAGCAGAGGTAGAACCCTGGCATACCTTTCTCTGTGTTGTCCTATCTGTGAACTACTTCTAGCATGAAATGACAAATTTTCTCTTTATTTTTCAGTCAGTTTGCATCAAAGTTTGCTGTAACTTGGAGCCAAAGGTATCCTAACCACACATACCTAAATCCAAAACTGTACGGCATGCTTTTGGGTCCAGGAGCTTGTGAAAAAAGAAAACTTACTATAGCATTTATTATAGAAAAAGGTATCTATAAGGTTAAAAAGTATAAATTCAAGAGGGAAAAAAAAAGAGTCTAGAATGGGGATGTTAGTTTGGGACTTTGTTTCTTCTCTACCAGTTAGCATGCAGGTCTCCTCTGCTATACCAAAGGAAAGTCTAAAATTCATACAAGTCCCATTTTTCTGTATGTGCCTCTGAATTTTAGAAAGAGGCAGGGTAGGCTACAAAATGGAACACCAGAAGCACAGCATATGTCATGGAAACAGCACATGGGTAATAGATAAAACTGATCCATTACTGATAGGGATAATCTGTTTATTCACAGGGGATCACATCATAATAAAAAATATAGCAATTATAACAGCTAACACTTATATGGAGCTTACTATGTACCAGGCACTGTTTCAAAGTACAGTTGATCCTTGAACAACATGAGATTGAACTATACAGGTCCCCTTATTCATGGATTTTCGTTCCATTCTGCAACCCCTGGGACAGCTGGACGAACTCTTCCTCCTATTCCTCCTCCTCAACGTACTCAATGTGATGACAATGAGAAAGGAGACCTTTATGATAATCTACTTCCACTTAATAAATAGTAAATACATTTTCTAATTTTTATGATTTTCTTAATAACATTTTCTTTTCTTTAGATTATTTTAAGCTAAAACTTAAAACTTTTCTTTAGCTAACTTTAAGCTGTATCATAACAATACAGTATATAAGGGGGAGGAGCCAAGATGGCCAAATAGGAACAGCTCTGGTCTACAGCTCCCAGTGTGAGCCACGCAGAAGACAGGTGATTTCTGCATTTCCAACTGAAGTACCGGGTTCATCCCACTGGGGAGTGCCAGACAGTGGGTGCAGGACAGTGGGTGCAGTGCACCGGGCGTGAGCCAAAGCAGGGCGAGGCATCGCCTCACCCGGGAAGTGCAAGGGGTCAGGGAATTCCCTTTCCTAGTCAAAGAAAGGGGTGACAGACGGCACCTGGAAAATTGGGTCACTCCCACCCTAATACTGCGCTTTTCCAACAGGCTTAAAAAATGGCACACCAGGAGATTATATCCCGCATCTGGCTCGGAGGGTCCTACGCCCACAGAGTCTCGCTCATTACTAGCACAGCAGTCTGAGATCAAACTGCAAGGTGGCAGCGAGGCTGGGGGAGGGGCGCCCACCATTGCCGAGTTAGTTGTTTGATTAGGTAAACAAAGCAGCCTGGAAGCTGGAACTGGGTGGAGCCCACCACAGCTCAAGGAGGCCAGTCTGCCTCTGTAGGCTCCACCTCTGTGGGCAGGGCACAGACAAACAAAAAGACAGCAGTAACCTCTGCAGACTTAAATGTCCCTGTCGGACAGCTTTGAAGAGAGTAGTGGTTCTCCCAGCACACAGTTTGAGATCTTAGAACTGGCAGACTGCCTCCTCAAGTGGGTCCCTGACCTCCAAGTAGCCTAACTGGGAGGCACCCCCCAGTAGGGGTGGACTGACACCTCACACAGCCGGGTACTCCTCCGAGACAAAACTTCCAGAGGAACGATCAGGCAGCAGCATTTGCGGTTCACCAATATCCGCTGTTCTGCAGCCACTGCTGCTGATACCCAGGCAAACAGGGTCTGGAGTAGACCTCTAGCAAACTCCAACAGACCTGCAGCTGAGGGTCCTCTCTGTTGGAAGGAAAACTAACAAACAGAAAGGACATCCACACCAAAAACCCATCTGTACATCACCATCATCAAAGACCAAAGGTAGATAAAACCACAAAGATGGGAAAAAAACAAAGCAGAAAAACTGGAAACTAAAAATCAGAGCACCTCTCCTCCTCCAAAGGAACGCAGCTCCTCACCAGCAATGAAACAAAGCTGGACGGAGAATGACTTTGACGAGTTGAGAGAAGAAGGCTTCAGACGATCAAACTACTCTGAGCTACAGGAGGAAATTCGAACCAATGGTAAAGAAGTTAAAAGCTTTGAACAAAAATTAGACGAATGGATAACTAGAACAACCAATGCAGAGAAGTCCTTAAAGGACCTGATGGAGCTGAAAACCAAGACACTACGTGACAAATGCAGAAGCCTCAGTAGCCGATGCGATCAACTGGAAGAAAGGGTATCAGTGATGGAAGACAAAATGAATGAAATGAAGCGAGAAGAGAAGTTTAGAGAAAAAAGAATAAAAAGAAATGAACAAAGCCTCCAAGAAAATGGGACTACGTGAAAAGACCAAATCTACGTCTGATTGGCGTACCTGAAAGTGACGGGGAGAATGGAACCAAGTTGGAAAACACGATGCAGGATATTATCCAGGAGAACTTCCCCAATCTAGCAAGGCAGACCAACATTCAGATTCAGGAAATATAGAGAACGCCACAAAGATACTTCTTGAGAAGAGCAACACCAAGACACGTAATTGTCAGATTCACCAAAGTTGAAATGAAGGAAAAAATGTTAAGGGCAGCCAGAGAGAAAGGTTGGGTTACCCTCAAAGGGAAGCACATCAGACTAACAGCAGATCTCTCGGCAGAAACTCTACAAGCCAGAAGAGCATGGGGACCAATATTCAACATTCTTAAAGAAAAGAATTTTCAACCCAGAATTTCATATCCACCCAAACTAAGCTTCATAAATGAAGGAGAAATAAAATACTTCAAAGACAAGCAAATGCTGAGAGATTTTGTCACCACCAGGCCTGCCCTAAAAGACCTCCTGAAGGAAGCACTAAACATGGAAAGGAACAACCGGTACCAGCCACTGCAAAAACATGCCAAATTGTAAAGACCATCGAGGCTAGGAAGAAACTGCATCAACTAACGAGCAAAATAACCAGCTAACATCATAATGACAGGATCAAATTCACACATAACAATATTAACTTTAAATGTTAATGGGCTAAATGCCCCAATTAAAAGACACAGACTAGCAAATTGGATAGAGTCAAGACCCATCAGTGTGCTGTATTCAGGAAACCCATCTCACGTGCAGAGACACACAAAGGCTCAAAATAAAGGGATGGAGGAAGATCTACCAAGCAAATGGAAAATAAAAAAAGGCAGAGGTTGCAATCCTAGTCTCTGATAAAACAGACTTTAAACCAACAAAGATCAAAAGAGACAAAGAAGGCCATCACATAATGGTAAAGGGATCAATTCAACAAGAAGAGCTAACCAGCCTAAATATATATGCACCCAATACAGGAGCACCCAGATTCATAAAGCAAATCCTTAATGACCTACAAAGAGACTTAGACTCCCACACAATAATAATGGGAGACTTTAACACCTCACTGTCAACATTAGACAGATCAATGAGACAGAAAGTTAACAAGGATACCCAGGAATTGAACTCAGCTCTGCACCAAGCGGACCTAATAGACATCTACAGAACTCTCCACCCCAAATCAACAGAATATACATTTTTTTCAGCACCACACCACACCTACTCCAAAATTGACCACATAGTTGGAAGTAAAGCACTCCTCAGCAAATGTAAAGGAATAGAAATTATAACAAACTGTCTCTCAGACCACAGTGCAATCAAACTAGAACTCAGGATTAAGAAACTCACTCAAAACCGCTCAACTACATGGAAACTGAACAACCTGCTCTGGAATGACTACAGGTTAAATAATGAAATGAAGGCAGAAATAAAGATGTTCTTTGAAACCAACGAGAACAAAGACACAACATACCAGAATCTCTGGGACACATTCAAAGCAGTGTGTAGAGGGAAATTTATAACACTAAATGCCCACAAGAGAAAGCAGGAAAGATCTAAAATTGACACCCTAACATCACAATTAAAAGAACTAGAAAAGCAAGAGCAAACACATTCAAAAGCTAGCAGAAGGCAAGAAATAACTAATATCAGAGCAGAACTGAAGGAAATAGAGACACAAAAAACCCTTCAAAAAATTAATGAATCCAGGAGCTGGTTTTTTGAAAAGATCAACAAAATTGATAGACTGCTAGCAAGACTAATAAAGAAGAAAAGAGAGAAGAATCAAAGAGACGCAATAAAAAATGATAAAGGGGATATCACCACTGATCCCACAGAAATACAAACTACCATCAGAGAATACTATAAAGACAACTCTACGCAAATAAACTAGAAAATCTAGAAGAAATGGATAAATTCCTCGACACATACATCCTCCTAAGACTAAACCAGGAAGAAGTTGAATCTCTGAATAGACCAATAACAGGCTCTGAAATTAAGGCAATAATCAATAGCTTACCAACCAAAACAAGTCCAGGACCAGATGGATTCACAGCTGAATTCTACCAGAGATACAAAGAGGAGCTGGTACCATTCCTTCTGAAACTATTCCAACCAATAGAAAAAGAGGGAATCCTCCCTAACTCATTTTATGAGGCCAGCATCATCCTGATACCAAAGCCTGGCAGAGACACAACCAAAAAAGAGAATTTTACACCAATATCCTTGATGAACATCAATGCGAAAATCCTACATAAAATACTGGCAAACCGAATCCAGCAGCACATCGAAAAGCTTATCCACCATAATCGAGTGGGCTTCATCCCTGGGATGCAAGGCTGGTTCAACATATGCAAATCAATAAATGTAATCCAGCATATAAACGGAACCAAAGACAAAAACCATGATTATCTCAACAGATGCAGAAAAGGCCTTTGACAAAATTCAACAACCTTCATGCTAAAAACTCCCAATAAATTAGATATTGATGGGACGTATCTCAAAATAATAAGCGCAATCTATGACAAACCCACAGCCAATATCATACTGAATGGGCAAAAACTGGAAGCATTCCCTTTGAAAACTGGCACAAGACAGGGATGCCCTCTCTCACCACTCCTATTCAACATAGTGTTGGAGGTTCTGGCCAGGGCAGTCAGGCAGGAGAAGGAAATAAAGGGTATTCAATTAGGAAAAGAGGAAGTCAAATTGTCCCTGTTTGCAGATTACATGATTGTATATCTAGAAAACCCAATCGTCTCAGCCCAAAATCTCCTCAAGCTGATAAGCAACTTCAGCAAAGTCTCAGGATACAAAATCAATGTACAAAAATCACAAGCATTCTTATACACCAATAACAGACAGAGAGCCAAATCTCCAGTGAACTCCCATTCACAATTGCTTCAAAGAGAATAAAATACCTGGGAATCCAACTTAGAAGGGATGTGAAGGACCTCTTCAAGGACAACTACAAACCACTGCTCAATGAAATAAAAGAGGATACAAACAAATGGAAGAACATTCCATCCTCACGGGTAGGAAGAATCAATATCATGAAAATGGCCACACTGCCAAAGGTAATTTATAGATTCAATGCCATCCCCATCAAGCTACCAATGACTTTCTTCACAGAATTGGAAAAAACTGCTTTAAAGTTCATATGGAACCAAAAAAGAGCCCGCATTGCCAAGTCAATCCTAAGCCAAAAGAACAAAGCTGGAGGCATCACGCTACCTGACTTCAAACTATACTACAAGGCTACAGTAACCAAAACAGCATGGTACTGGTACCAAAACAGAGATATAGACCAATGGAACAGAACAGAGCCCTCAGAAATAATGCCGCGTATCTACAACTATCTGATCTTTGACAAACCTGACAAAAACAAGAAATGGGAAAAGGATTCCCTATTTAATAAATGGTGCTGGGAAAATTGGCTAGCCATATGTAGAAAGCTGAAACTGAATCCCTTCCTTATACCTTATACAAAAATTAACTCAAGATGGATTAAAGACTTACATGTTAGACCTAAAACCATAAAAACCCTAGAAGAAAACCTAGGCAATACCATTCAGGACATAGGCATGGGCAAGTACTTCATGTCTAAAACACCAAAAGCAATGGCAACAAAAGACAAAATTGACAAATGGGATCTAATTCAACTCAAGAGCTTCTGCACAGCAAAAGAAACTACCATCAGAGTGAACAGGCAACCTACAGAATGGGAGAAAATTTTTGCAACCTACTCATCTGACAAAGGGCTAATACCCAGAATCTACAATGAAGTCAAACAAATTTACAAGAAAAAAACAAACAACCCCATCAAAAAGTGGGCGAAGGATATGAACAGACACTTCTCAAAAGAAGACATTTATGCAGCCAAAAAACACATGAAAAAATGCTCATCATCACTGGCCATCAGAGAAATGCAAATCAAAACCACAATGAGATACCATCTCATACCAGTTAGAATGGCGATCATTAAAAAGTCAAGAAACAACAGGTGCTGGAGAGGATGTGGAGAAATAGGAACACTTTTACACTGTTGGTGGGACTGTAAACTAGTTCAACCATTGTGGAAGTCAGTGTGGCGATTCTTCAGGGATCTAGAACTAAAAATACCATTTGACCCAACCATCCCATTACTGGGTATATACCCAAAGGATTATAAATCATGCTGCTATAAAGACTCATGCACACGTATGTTTATAGCAGCACTATTCACAATAGCAAAGACTTGGAACCAACCCAAATGTCCAACAACGATAGACTGGATTAAGAAAATGTGGCACATATACACCATGGAATACTATGCAGCCATAAAACGTGATGAGTTCATGTCCTTTGTGGGGACATGGATGAAACTGGAAACCATCATTCTCAGCGAACTATCGCAAGGACAAAAAACCAAACACCACATGTTCTCACTCATATGTGGGAATTGAACAATGAGAACACATGGACACAGGAAGGGGAACATCACACACCGGGGACTGTTGTAAGGTGGGGGAAGGGGGGAGGGATAGCATTAGGAGATATACCTAATGTTAAATGACGAGTTAATGGGTGCAGCACACCAACATGGCACATGTATACATATGTAACAAACCTGCACGTTGTGCACATGTACCCTAAAACTTCAAGTATAATAATAATAATAATAATATTAAAAAGAATACAGTATATAATACATATAGCATACAAAATATGTGTTACTCAACTATTTACATTATCTTAAGACTTCTGGTTAACATTAGACTTTCAAAAAAAATCTGGCAGGAATCCAAATTTATACGTGGATTTTTGACTGCACAGGGTTCAGCATCCCTGACCTCCACACTGTTTAACGGTCAACTGTAGAAGTAGATTATCATAAAGGTCTCCCCTGTGAATAAACAGATTATCCCTATCAGTAATGGATCAGTTTTATCTATTACCCATGTGCTGTTGCCATGACATATGCTGCGCTTCTGGTGTTCCATTTTGTAGCCTACCCTGCCTCTCCCTAAAATTCAGAGGCACATACAGAAAAATGGGACTTGTATGAATTTTAGACTTTCCTTTGGTATAGCAGAGGAAACCTGCATGCTAACTGGTAGAGAAGAAACAAAATCCTTCTCCCGATAAATTCATTTGACTAACCAAACTCGTAATGGAAAGATTCGAAGGCAAGTGGTCTTGCATCAGAGTCCAGGCTTTTAATCAATACATCATACTGTCCCTTATCTGACTCTCACTTGTATCATCTGTAAATTGAGGATTGTTCATCAGAGGAGAAACATCCCCTACAAAGTGTGGACAGAGTAAATTAGCTGCACTTAGTGCCTGCAAAAGATCAGAAGTGACATTAGCCTGTTTCAGAAACTTCAAATTGATGTGCTCATTTGTCAACACTCTAATTTAAGAATATAAATAACATTAGTATTCATACAGGCTAACATACAAAGAAAAGTGTCCCTTTATATTTCTTTGTGTCTGAAATGTACTCAACAACAACAACAAAATTTCAGACCTTTGATAGTAGGTTTGCTTTTCTAAGTCATTGGTAAGAGTATTATTTTTCTCTACCCTTTAATCTTTATAGACAAGGAATCGCTACTTCTTTTGCATTTCGTCATGATCCTATGTTTTACAGAAATAATAAAAATAAAGATCCTATCTAATGTATTCAACAGACTTTGTTATATGTTAACACTTACAACACTAATTATTATTCATGCAAATGAATCAAAACTAAATAAATCAGAGTTGGCACTATCATGATCACTATACCTATAATGTGGCATAAAAGGGAATCATATAAATGACTGAGTGTTGAGAAATGCTTAGTTTCCATGGCACCATAATTAAATTAAATACTTTGCTTATTAAATAGGATTAGAAACAGTCAGGCAGCTTTGGCTTACACAAACCAAATTCTTCAAACCTGAACAGTGTGGAAGCAATGAAAAGATGTATCCATTTACCAAATTAAAAGAGTCAGAACTTAAGATCAACTTTCCAAACTAAGTATTCAAACAATAAAATCAAATACCAAAGAGGGACTGTTAATGACTAGCAAAGAGAGAGGAAGAGACCAAGAAAAAGCAAAGTTATTATTTCTCCACTTTGTGGGAATTGCATTATAGTGAATTTGCACATACTCATAAATAATTTACAGACTATAAAAGGCAAAATGACTCTGATACAGAGATCTCAGTATTAAATTAATATCACTCATGCCACATTAGCCTTGCACGATGAAATCAGTTTTCTCAACAAAAAGATGACTCCAAAAGGACTAAGTCTGACACTTCATTAACATTGACAAGGGTTTGAATCAAAGATTGGCACGTAATGACCCACTTGAAGCTGTCTATCCCTTCAGTTCAGTCTATCCCTAAAGGTTTAGCTAAAGGCAAACTGCCAAAGAAATTTCCCTCGGGAAGTCAGTACAGCAGGAACTACTGTAAAGGTGAGAAGATAAATAATGCATTATCAGCTTTTTAAAAAATTACTTATTATACATATTCAATATTCTTACCCTTTTTCTGAAGTATACTTCTATGTGTAAGAAAGAATGCAAATTTTTGTCACTACCTTATTATTTTTCCTAATTCTATTTTAATATACTTTTGGCCATTTTCCTTTCCTTCTGGCATTTCCCAACCTGGACATATGTAGCACACATCAAAAATTACTGCAGCACTGAAGCAGGTGTCAGATGACACCTCTTCTTGCTCACACATGTTATTTCTTTTAACATTTCCATCTTTTATAGAAGAAACTATTTTGTCACCTCCTTAGAAGAGAGACTGAGAAAAAACTGATGTCATTTGAGGATTATTACATGTATTTCCAAGATGCCATTATGTGTAGCTAACACGAATAATGAAGTGAAGTCCCCCTCGGAGGAGGAAAGGAGAGGGGTCTACTGAGGGCGTTCTTACAGCAATGGCAAACTGTGACATGAGAAGAGAAGAGGTGATGCCATCATTCAAAATGTAATTATGTAGAAGGGCAAATAACACCATAAAAAGAAACAGACACAATGTAAGAAGCACTATCTTGTGCACTACGTAAAACCTGTCACTTAGTGAGTATACAAGGAACAGAAATGTTGGAAAATATTCTCAAACAACAAGGTAATTATTACGAGCAGGAGAAGAAATACGTAAACCAGGAAACTAGCAGGGAGAAAAAAAAAGGAGAAATTAGAAAAGGTATATATATCAAGATATATAGAGAAAGAGAGGGAACATATAAAAAGAGAGAGTATATACACCAAGCTCATTGCAATAAGAAAAGTCCCCTCCTCTGCAAAGGTTGGAACTAGAAAAGTGTCATTCTTCAAAGAGAAAGAAAACCACCCAGCAGAGATTATGTTTTCCTTTTACATTCTTCAAAAATAAAGTTAACAAATGTGTACTGTTAAAGATCAAATGAAAAGGGGAAGTATGTTTCTTTATGGACTCTGCAGCAGATGCTGTTCAGAGAAGCCCATAATTACCTAGCAGGTAGACAGATAGGAAGGTACATTCTTTTAAAATTACATGTTAGGACAAATTATTTGGAGACTTTCAAAAGATGGTAGATGTTTCCTAATACATTAATGCTAGAGGATTCACTGACAGGAAACAAGAAGTTTTATGGGCTTTATAAGGCTTTCATGCAGCCATATTATGTAAAGCAAGCAAAATGAAGCAACTCTAAAAATCAGTTTATTCTATGAACAGGTAAGGATTACCAAGGCTAAAATTTCACTATTAGAACATGAAGTAATTGGGAACTTGAACTACCAAGAAATTCACTAGATTCAGGTGACCATTGCTCATGGAAAAGGAATCTTTTTCATTCTTTTCTCAGCTGCCACTCTCCCAGGGTAATAGCAGCCAAGAACAACAGTGCGGGTCAAAGCGTTCAGGAAAACCTTCTATTATGTTTCTATATAATAGATATACCGCACATATCCAGAAATATAAGTCTTGATAGCAAGCAGAAACATATTTTAAATGGAAAAATGAAGATAACAGGTTGTGAATGCAATTAAGTTAAATGACTTAACTGAAATTCTGCATTTCTAAAAGTGATCCAATATCAAAAGAAAATTATAGCAAGAGTCATTATAAAAGAGTAAGCAATATTCAAGAAGGTGTTTGGGTTCTCCCTAAAGCACTACTGTCAGAAGAAAAAATAAAAATCAGGATTTAGCAACAGCCTTTCAGTCCAAAAGAGCAGAATAAAGCTTCTAAAAGGACCTCACACAGAAGATTAAATTACCACAGAATTTCATAAAGAATTCATTGAATGCTTAAGCAGGCTTCTGTGGAGGTCAAAGAGAACCAATCAGAAAATTGGGGTCATTAAGGGATGAGAGACAGGGTAATAGGAGCTGAAATATAATTACAGACTAAGTGGAAGGGGGAAGGAAGAAATAGCAGAAATAATAAATGTTGTTTTGGTTTTGGATGAATCAGTTTTCCTTTAAAGACATTTATAGACTAATTAAGTTGGTTTTTCCGTTAAATGATATTTTGTTCTTTATATTCTATTTTAGAAATGATGGCCTTAAGGGAGTGGCTCAGGTGCTGGAAGTATCTGAGCCTTTGATACATATTTCACATATATTTAATTGGAAATTTGAATCATAGTTTATCTTCCTTCTTAAAATATTCATCAAAATCTAGTATTTAGCTATACAAATTTGTGTATGTATTACATTTCAACTTCATTTCATTTTCAAAAAGCATGTCTGTAAAACATAAAAGCAAGAACTGATAATAAGCTTAAAAATCCACATGTATGGATGACCAAGATAACATTTCATATTTTCCTGTCTTCCCTTTTTTCTGTCCCTCCCTCCTGTGTTTACTTTGGAGTCTATAATTCTGAAACTTATATATGTTGTTAAAACATTTGTACTTTAACTTTTAAGGAAGTCTCCTTAATTCACTGAAATTTGAAATAAAAATAATGAGTTCATCAAAACTTAAAATATGTAAACTGATAATTTTGCTATAAAATTACAAAAATAAGCTATTCTAAGCTTTAGTTATTTGGGGCATTTATCTAAGCCAGGGGTGTCCAATATTCTGGATTCCCTGGGCCACATTGGAAGAAGAAGAATTATCTTGAGCCACACAAAATATACACTCACACTAACAATAGCTTATGAGCTAAAAAAAAAAAAGTCACAAAAAAGTGTCATAATGTTTTAACAAAGTTTACAAATTTGTGTTGGGCTACATTCAAAGCCATCCTGGGCTGCATGCAGCCCGTGGGCCACAGGTTGGACAAGCTTGAGCTGAGCCTTCAATTTGAACTTCTTGCAAAAATGTTATGCTGCCATTCTACTTTACACACATTTCTATAAAACACTGGCTACTCTTGAATTGATTCAAATTATAAAGTTAGCAGAGGAGTTACTATAATTAGAAAGCAATACAGAGAAGACAAGGAGTGTGGTTTTATGAACATAGCTAATACCTCACACCTAGTTATTTTCATATTCAAAAAGCTCTTTCACATACATTATCTAAAATAACTGTGCAGTATTTCATAATTATCATAACACCATTTAAAAAGGCTTATTTTTTTCCAGCAGTATGACTGACATACAGTATCTCATTTAAGCTCACAACAAATAAACAAATAGAGAAACAATGAAATCAAGGTGATCTTAAATGATTCACCCAGGTTCACAAAGCTGAAAAGTGACAGACTGAACTCCAATCCAGATCTGACTGCAGTTAATTACCACCTCACTACAGCTTTTGCTTCCAAATACCTGGAATGACATTCTTAGGAGATAAATAAAATTCAATTCAGAAAGTCCTGAAAAGTTCCCCAGCACTCTGCATTTAGTTTCCTTGCTACATTCCCTAAATACATAATATATTCCCTAAATATGTTCCCCAACTTCCTACCTTTAGACTGCATCCTTGTCTCCTGAAAATCATCTTTTCCTCTCTACCCAGCACCATCATTCTCACAGTTACAACTGAAATTGTTGGCATCATTACTCCTCCTCCAAACTATTTCAGTCGATTGCCAAGTCATGTACTGCCACGGTGATGCCCCGCTCACTGCCACTGCCTAGGCCTAAGTCCTCTTGCTATCTCCTAAACCATTGCAAACAGGCAGAAAATAAGATTTCAGGTCCCCAGAAGGTCTTGCACGGTCTTGTAAGCCACAGCTCCTTTTGCATGGCGTCTCCCACCACGACCCTTGGACGCTGCAACCCTGCTGGCCTGAACTTTATGCAGTTCATTGAACACAGAATCAAGCACATGCCTGCCCTAGAGTCTTGAACTTACTGTCCTCCAAATAGTTACATGGCCGGCTCCTTCACTTAATTCAGGTCTCAGTTCAAATGTCGCCTCCTCAAGAGACCACAGCACCCTGTCCCTATCATGCCCCTACCTTATCCTGATTGTTTTCCTTCATGGTACTTTCAATTTCACATCATTAGCATTTACTACTCTCCATCCACCCTCAGAGGGTAAGCTCTACGCAGGCCAGATATTTCTATCACTTTCATTCCCTACCTTGTCCCTTCCCCCTTGACTACTGCCTAGTACATGGGAACACTGAGGTATTTGTTCAATTAATGGATGAAAGAACATCTGGATAAATTCTAACTGGTTTTTCTTTTACTATTTTTCCCTCTCTGTCTTTATCATCCACAGTATTGTCAATGTGGCTCAAAACGCAGCAAAGCAAAATATGGAATGGGTAAGCTGCAAAGTATTTTTGGGGAACAGTGAGTAGGTCAGTGAAATGCCATATAAATAATGGCCTAGGACTTGGCTGTGTTGACCTCACATGCCCTATTTTTAATACTTTGTTTCAGGGAATAATAATCCTCACCTCATAGGACTATTCTAGGGATTTAATGAGGTAAGATATATATATATAATCTGTATATATAAAATGATTGCTACAGGGCTGGTACATAGAAAGCATTCTGTAAATATGAACTAGTATTACAATGGCTGGCTTGCAGCCAGTTTTCTATTGCTGGTTTAGAGCTTTAAATATCATGGTGAGGAATTTTCACCTAATGTATTTGTAAGGAATGTTTTGTTAAAATTTCCCCTAATGAATAAATATTTTGAATGACTAAATTTTTGTTTCACACCCTTCCTAGGCCACATTTCCCTCTTTCAAAATGTTAGCCATCTAGAGTTGCAAAAACTAGCTCACATTTTGAGGTGGAAAATTCGTTTCTGTATTCCATACTATAAGCAAAGATACATCCCAAATGTATTTAAACATTAAAATGGTATCAAGTGAAGAATTAAGAGAATATTGGGAGATATTTGGAAATATAGGGAAAGCTATTTTAAAGCTATTTGAAGAATTAATAAAGGAAGAACGAGACATCATTTTACTTCTATCAATCTAACAACACAATTTTAAAGTATGATATTCAGTGTTGTGAAGAAATATGCTAACAAATCTAATATAACTGGATATAATTTGGTAGTTTGTGGCAAAAGAATTACAATGATGTATAGTCTCTGGACCAGTTACTGCTTTTTCAAACATTTACTCTATGGAAATATTAATAATCCTATACTTAAAGGTAAAGCATGAGATATCACCCTTTTGTTTCTCTGTTACCTAAATGGAAATGTTAGAATCATCATCAGCTCCCTCCTCTAGAGTCTACATTCAGATAAATGCCAAGTATTTACATTACTAAAGTCATTCCTTTTCTTTTATTTCAACTGCCATCATCCTAGTTTAAGTTTCATTAGTTTTAACCTAGACCACAGTCCTTATGATATTTCAAACACTTTATATGCCAGGGATTCCTAGAAGCATCACTACTGTTAGAATTAATATGATTAGAGGTATATTGGAAAAAAGATAAAATGACTGCTATTTATGGAAGATGATTGACTACCTAGAAATAAGAGAAACCCTGAGTAACTATTTGAACCAATAATTGAGTTATAAAACAAGTTGACCAAAATCAATAGCTTTCCTTTGTGCAAATAATAACCTATTGAAAAGTATAAAGTAAACAAATCTATTCTCTCAGCAATGAAAAATATAAAATACTGTGAAAAGCACTGCAAACCCACATTTTTTTCCATTAAGATTTACTATCGACAACTCTGTGAGGCAGCTAATTCAACAAAAACTCAAATATCTCTTGCTTCTTTTCCCCCACTTTGTGAACCAACCCAATGAACTAGATCCATTCATTTGTTTTGAACACTAACATTTCCAATGCATTGTGATTCTCTTTTCACATAACTACACACATCCCACCAACCTCCTCCTCACTGCCAAACTCACTCAGTTCTCTGGAATTCTAATTCTACCCTTTGCATAGCTTCAACCTTATGGCCTTTTGGCTCTCCCTGAATCCTGTTATTCCAGCAAGAACACCACATGCCCCATGGACTTCCCAAAGGGTAGCTGCAAATTCTTTTACCACCATGGATACTTCATATATACCATGAAATACACATCTGTACTTCAGAGTCAGAAGGTACAGTTGTTGTCACTTTTCTACCCCCACAAAAAATATCTGCTCTTTCAGGTTCCCGTCATTAAATTCCCTACCTACATACACACACGCACATGCACATACACACATTCATAGACACTCCCCTTCATTCACTGCTGACTTTGAAATCTGGTCACAGTCTCTCTCTCTGTCACAATGTCTGCAACATTCTGAAGGATTCTGACATCCATGTGATTGACCTATCCTGCACCCTGGCCTTTTTACTCCTTGGCTCTCCCCTCACCTCCACTTTACCTGTATAGCCACAGTTTTGTCATCACTCAAAACTACTCCACCTCTAAAAGCTCTCAATCAGACCTTTTACTTTCCCATTCCAGCTTCTTATTCTTCCAGGTGGCCTCAACTATTCCCACTGCATTTATTCTTCAACCTTGTTAGTGCTTCCTGTTCCATATGAACTAACTTTCTCCCTACTGATGAGCCCTCAACTATCCTTACTTTCTTCTCTATCCAATATAAATATCTTTAAGTCTCAAAGTTTAGTTAGTTTTTGATACTATCATTAACTTCTTTGTCTGGAGATCAAAATCCTAACGATGGATGAATCAATCTACTTTTCTCATGCCTACATCTGGGTTGTAAAAGGTTAGGGACAAATTGTATAACCAGATGGATGAATAGCACAACTTCTGGTTATCAACTTTATCTGGGACCTCAAAACTTTCATGGGCTGTTTTCGGTACACTGTTAACTTCACCTGTGACTCTGCCTCTTCTCTCCAGTAATTCACCTTAGATCTCACTTCACAGAAAAAACAAAAGCTGTCAGACATGGACTCAACTCCTTTAACTTCCTTTCTATCAAATACACATTTAGCTGCATCAATATCCATCCATTTCTCCCTCCCTTCTGTTTGTACATAGAAGGTGTCTCCTTTCCTAGCAAAGTTCGAATTCTTCAATTATGCTCTGAATCCTATGCTTTCTGCCCTATTTGCACCATCAGTTAATTCCTCTCTTATACATGTTCAACCTTTCTCTCTCTCCTTATCTCTCATTTTCTCTCTCTTTTTCTCTCTCAAATGCTAGTGAATACGTGCCATCAGCATTTAAATATTGTCTCTTCCTATTTCTTCCCATCTTAAAAAATTAAAAAAATTCCTGAGCCCTACATGTGCATCCAGTAACTACCCCATGCATCCTCCCATTCACAGCCAAATGTATTGCAAAAAGCATCACCCCTTCTCCCACCCACTCCCCACAGCCACTCTAATCTGGCGTCCTTTTCCAGGCCACCAAAAATGCTTTAAAAAAGACAACCATCTCCACATTCTGAATCTCATAAAAAATGTTAAAAGCATCATTGATGTCCTCTTAGCACCTTCTGCTACCATGTATCACTTCCTACCTCCTAAAATACTCTTCCTTTAGCTTCCTTGGTACAATAATACTTCTGATTTTCTGTGTAATTTTCTGGCAACTCTTTCTCATGTTATTTTACAGGCTCTTCCACTTCTTATAGATTTTAAATGTAGGAGTACCTCAAGGACTGCTCCTTGCTCCCTTTTCCTCTCAATATATTCTCTCCTTAAGTGACTCTGATCATTCCTATGGCTCCAGTTAGCATCTACACCAATGACACCCATATTTATAGCTCCAGCTCAGACCTTTCTTCTAAACATCAGACTTATGCAACAAACTTCAATATTTCCTCTTAGATGTCTATGGGCATCTCAAACTCCTTATGGCCAAAAGTGAACTCAAAATCTAATTGCCCTCCAGTATTCTCTACTTCAATAAATAGTATAATCATCATAGCCATCCATCCACTTTGCACAAGTCTGAAATATGAAATTCATCCATGATATGCCTCTCTCCCTTGGTCCTTGAAATCCAATTACTATAGGCAACATATTCTACCTCTCATATATACGAATCCATTTGCTTCTTTCCAATTCCACAGTCATTTCCTACCTCAAACTGTAGCCTCTCTGAAATGGACTAGTATGAATGCCCCTAACTAATGTTCCCATATCCCATCCTGCTTTTTCAACCCAGTTCCCACAGTGGCTCGCCTACTGAATTATAATACTTAATCATGTCATACTCCCGTTTAAAACCCTTCAAATGCTTCCTAATGCTTTGGGGATAAATATCGAAGTCTTTTAACACCACAACAGCCCACATTATCTGGTCACTGCTTCTCTCCCCATCCTTATCCCAAAATACTCTACTTAGATTCTCACACCATTCACTGTGCTCAAGTCACACTAGAAAGATACAATATACCATACATCTAACTAGAAAAGATTTTCTTTTTAATGATGATAACACCTTGTGCTAGTGTGGGTGCTGAAAAAAACAGGCACTTCCAGATGTTGCTGAAGTGTAAATTGGTAAAACCATTGAGAATAATATGGTAATAGGTGCCAAAATTCTGCATATTTTGTACAATGTTCAACCTATAAATTCTCCTTTTTAATACTGACCTGAAAAATACTGTGGCAGTATTTTTATAATAGTGAAACCTGGAAACAAATGAACAGTAAATGTGAAAGACTTTGATGTGTATCCTCAAAGCATTAGGAAGTGTTTGAAGGGTTTTGAACTGGAGTATGATGTAATTAAGTATTATAATTTTGATAGATGATCCAGTAGCACTGTGGGAACTGGGTTGAAAAAGCAGAAGGGATATGGGGATATTAGTTAGGGACATTAATACTTTATCTGGTAGAACATATTTTGTTTCATCTGGTGAAAAATTGTCTTTTGATACAGGAGATTACACACACACACACACACTCCCCCGCCACACACATACACACACAAGGTATATGAAAACTCATCACTGTTTTCAGCGTAATCTAAAGAGACTGTCCCAGCTGAGAATTTTTGGTAGTTTCTCATATGTTTTGTGTGATAACTAGATCATTTGGGGAATTTTTTATCCTCAAACTATTCAAAATCTGGAAATTGTCTTAAGTCACCCTGAGTGAAAGTTTGCAACATTCTTGACAAAATAAAGAATTTAGAAAGGACAGTCCTTTCTATTCTGTTCAGGATGGTTGCGTTTTCTAAATGCTATTCGCTGTGTTGGTTGTGCCACACATAACTCCTAGTTACTCTGCTTTATTAAATCCCCACTTCAAAATATAAAAAGAATAAACTTGACACAATGAATAAAAGTACAATTATTATTTTTGCAGAAGATGCGCAAGCACAATAATCTCAACTTACTGTTAATATTTACAGATGCAATTGAGTACAATAAAAATCCATGAAAGAGGGGTCAAAATATGAAACACCTTACTCAATGAATGTTGCAACATGTATTGGGCATCTACTATGCATTAGATACTGTCAAGTGATGAAGATACAGAGATAAATGACAGATGAACCTTGCCCTGTATGAAACAGATTAACTCAATTCATTCAATATAAACTCAGTTCAGCTTTCAATATAAAGCTGGGTTAGAATTTCTTCAGAAGCCTCATTCCTTAACTGCCACTCACTCAGGACCACTGTTATTTCCACCTCATGACTGAAATTCAAAGGGTTAACCACTTCTGACCTTTGTGTTTCTGAACTAGTATTCTTTAAAGGTACTATATCATATTTCTATTCTGTTCTATTTGAAACACTGCCCCAAAAGTAAAACTTCATGCCTCTGACATACCATGTATTGCTTGAACATAGATGGCCTCAGACATGGTGACTGACCACTGGTTTCACCAAGTTCTTGATATTACCTGAAAATGCATCCTGCCCCAATGCTGAAACAAAGCCAGAGTAAGAATCATGTTGCTGAGGTCAATGAAGGCCACCATACTTCCTATCTTGTTACTCTTGGGTATGACTACCCCATTTGAAAGTAGCTTCCAAACACATTATTCCTGCTTTCATCTTCATACCTTGCTCACTTTCCTCCCTCCTGAATCATCCTCACAGGGTATTAAAAAACTGTAGAAAAGGCTACAAGTTTTTCTATCCCTGTTTCTTTGTCCCTTTCAATGTGACTTTACAGGTTCTCCATCACCTGTACTGGCCTTGTGACTTGAGGAGGCCAATAGAATGTGGTAGAAGTAACAATGTCTGAATTCCTGCCTAGGAGTAAAGAGGCTTTGCAAGTTTTGACTTTTTAGAAATTTGCAACTATCATATAAAGAAGGCTGAGCTAACATGCTAGTTGAAAGATGACATGGAAAGATGCTCTAGTCATCTCAGCATCGAAAAGTGAGAGTGTCATAAACCAACCATCTGAACTGACACACCAGCTAACTAACAGATATACAAGCAAGCCCAGCATGATTGAAGAAAAAAATCCCAGCTGAATTCAGTCTAAATTTCTAACCTGCCAAACTATTTCTTAAGCTATTAAATTCTGGGATGTTTTGCTACACAGTAAATGCCAACTGATAAAATGGGCTTCCAATCCTCCATCTCAACCATTGACCATGTAGATCCTCCATAACCTAACACCTCACTCTCATTGAAACCTGGATTTTCAGTGAAGACAATGCTGCTTACTCTGAAGTCCTCCCATTTAGAGTGTTTATTTCCCACACCATATGTATGCTTGCTGTAGGAAGGAGTGCCACTTCCAAATTACCACTCTCTCACCCTCAGGAAAGAACTCAACCTCCTTTAATGTGTATGGCATCCGTCTCTTTCACTACCTTTTAAAATTCGTATCATATACCTATGGCAGAGTTACTGGGGACTTTGGAACCTGAAAACAATCTTTCTCTCTACCTTAGGTTGGGATTTGTTTTGGGAAATTTTAGATGGCCTTTGGAAAATTTGTTCAGCACTTAGAATCTAAATTTGCTTGACTCCTTGCCTCCTCATATACAGTGGATTTCATTTCCTTATCACTTAAGCATTCCGTTTCCATAGCTATACCCTTGAACATGTTACTCCACCAAAATTAGTCCACCTCCGAAATATTTCAACTCTTAGCCCATGAGACTTCTTTCATTAATATATTAAAATAACAAACAAAATAATATAGATTTTTTAAAAACCCCAAATAACCACAGAAAAAATTTTATGGTGTCCATCAGAGAATTATCTTTAAAAGATACCAGAATAAGACATATTCCAAGCTATTAAATCAATTTAGAGACATATAATTATCATGATATACAAAAGCCATCTAGAAACAAGAGAAAATTATCCAAAGAAATTTTTAAAAAGACGAGTGATGGTAGATTTGCTCTCCTGGATAATAACTCATACTAGAAAGCTATGATAAAATACTGTAGAATTAGTATCCTAAGACACAAATAAATTAATAGAGAATGAGATAAATCCTAAAACCTACTCAAATACATGTAAATATGTAAACATCTAATGTAACAGAAAGGTGTAATGTTCATAAGTGAACAAAATAATCATTTAACAAATGGTACTAGAATTATTGGTTAATTTGTTTGACCAAAAAAAAGTTAACTAGATTATTATCTCATGTACACAAAAAATAAATCCCAGGTTGTTTAAATTTAAAATAAAAAAAGAAGGGGACATTCAGAGGCTGGATAGTAAATATTTGATGAATAAAAAGAGGACAGGGCCTTTTAAAGCATGACAACACTGAAGGCAGAACTATTAGGAAAAGACTAAAAGAATCAATTACGTGAAATTTTACATATTTTTCATTGAAAAACAAAAGAAACATTATGAAAACATATTTGCAACATATATATTAGATAAGTTTTATCATAAAAAGACCTCTTACAAATGAGTAAGAAAAATGCAAATAATTAATTTTTAAAGTGGACAACATACATGAAAAATTATTTCATAAAACAAATACACAGCCTGGTGCGGTGGCTCATGCCTGTAATCCCAGCACTTTGGAAGGCCAAGGTGGGCAGATCACCTGAGGTCGGGAGTTCAAGACTGGCCTGACTAACATGGAGAAACCCCATCTCTACTAAAAGTACAAAATGAGCCGGGTGTGGTGCTGCATGCCGGTAATCCCAGCTTGGGATTACTTGGGAGCCTGAGGCAGAAGAATTGCTTGAACCCGGGAGGCGGAGGTTGCGGTGAGCCAAGATTGCGCCACTGCACTCCAGCCTGGGCAACAAGAGCGAAACTCCGTCTCAAAAACAAACAAACAAACAAACAAAATTAAAAAACAAGAAATGTTTATACATTGTTAGTGGGAACGTAAATTATTAGAACCTCTTCAGAAAACAATATGGAGATTTCTCAAAGAACTAAAAATAGAACTACCATTCAACCCAGCAATCTCACTATATGGTATCTACCTAAATGAAAAGAAATTATTATAGTATATTAAAATATATAGCAGGACTATTCACAACAGCAAAGTCATGGAATTAACATAACTGTCCATCAATCCAGCCCATCAATGTAATGACTGGATAAAGAAAGTGTGGCATATATACATCATGGAATACTACACAACTGTAAAAAAGAATGAAATCACATCTTTTGAAGCAGCCATAGATGGAGCTGGAGGCCATTAACCTAACTAAAATAACTCAGAAACAGAAAATCAAATACTGCATGTTCTCACTTATAAGTAGGAGCTAAACAATGGGTACACATGGACGTACAAAAGGAAATAACAGATAGTGGGGAGTTCAAAAGGGAAGAGTAGAAGGGGCGTGAGGGTTGAAAAATTACCTACTGGGTATCATGTTCAGTATTCAGGTGATGGGCACACTAAAAGCTGAAACTTCAGCATTATACAATATATCCATGTAACAAACCTGTACATGTGCCCCCTGAATCTATAAAAATAAAATACATTAAATATGTTTTAAAACACAACAAAAAAATAGAAATTGTCAACAAACATAATGAAAAAAAAATTCAACCATCCAGATTTTTACCTCCACTTTAGTCCTTTATTCCAGACTCCAGGCTCAAATATCCAACTAGTTGCACTACATTGCCACTTAAATGGCTAACACACCTCTTAAACATAACATGTCTAAATTGAACTTGATCTTAGCCACTCTCCCAAATCCAGCTCAATTACCAGCCTTTCCAATCTCAGGTATTAGCAACTCTGTCCTCTTACTTCCTTGATACAAAAACCTTGTAATCATCCTCAACTCCTCTCTTTCACTCATACCCATTTCTCACCATTAAAATTCCTGTTGGCTCTACCTTCAAAATATAGTACATCCAAAACCTAATCATTTCCCATAACTTCCACCTAATGAAGCTACCATCATTTCTTCCCTGTATAACTTCAAAAACAGACCTGTCTTGCCTAAAATGTGTAACCAGCAATCCACTGCCCTTGGCGTAATAATAAAACTCCTTAATTTAACGCCATCCTACCTCTTCAGCTGAAACTCATAGTATGACTCTCTGCACAGCAGTCACCTCTGCCACCTTTCACAACATGACACCTCACTACACAGAGCCTCTGAATATTCAATCTCTCAGCTTACACATTCCTCTTTCTCCTCTTCACTAGTTAAATGCTATTTTTTATTAGAACTCAACTCCAACATCTTTTTCTCAGGAATACCTTGCCTGATCTCCCTGATGGTAGAATTTTACTTATTTCAGGTGCTTTATCAACACCTTAATACTGCACCATTGCATTGCATACTTGACCATTACATGATTACAGAAAAGATATTTGGTGGTAAAACACTTATTTCACCTTTATTTCACTTAATTTCTATATGCCTAGAACAATCATTCCATATTACTATTTCTAGATCATTTCAAGAAATATTCTCCAGCTCATAAATTCATTCCTAGGCACATGGAAAACTCAGCCAGGACAGTTAATCCAATTCTTACATCCCATTTCATATTCTACTGATTGTCTCCCCCAGCTCTAAGTCCTTCAGCATTTAGGAACTGTGGTCTGAAGAGACATTAATACATTAAATAAATCAGTGAACAAGTACAATGTGCATCTTGTTCTATACCAGCCCACTCCCTCCCTTCTTTCCAACTAAGAAATAAAAGTGACCTTTCTGAGATTCAGGGCCTGAGAAATGCTGGAGGTAGACTACAAGCATGAACATAGATGGGCGAATTATTAACATTGCTTTGCCGTAAAAGGTCCTAATTTGTGGTCAGGAAAGCTCATTTTTTTATTGGTTTAAAAGCATGATGCTTACCCACAAAATAGTATGAAAAGAATACGTTATCTACTGCATTTTTTCCTCTTTCTCAAAGCATAATAAAGGATTAGCCTCCTAAATCTAATAATAATGATTTAGGCAAACAAACAAACAAACAAACAAAAGGCTCTTGGTTTGTGTTTTCTTACAAATAATGCTACAGTAAATTACAATATCCTAAAACTGGTTAAAAAGGCTTGAATAGGTTAAACAAAGACCAAGAGAATATCCAGGGCCATCTGCAAACACTTGCTTTTAGCATCATGAGATATATTTGTGCGGGCTCACTAACTCCTTGTAAATCACCATCTTTAAAATAACTTCAAGAATCAAGTGGTACAGAGCACAATTCTACGAGGAAGGATTAATGGGAGAATTTTTACAAAGGAGGAAAGAGAAGTTAAGCTTATGGAAAATGCATTATCCTAAATTTTTCTAATGCTGTATTGCTTTTATTAATCTTCTTATCCTTACAAGATTTACAATAAAAAAAACAAAGACTTCATCGTATTTGGAGTACTAATAGTTAACAAGTTGGAAGAGAACAGTTTAATTTTGCATTGAGACAGCACAATCTTTCTCAGCAGAACCACCCAGCATAAACTAAAACTATTTTATGGGACTACCCCAAGCTACTAAAGGCCTGGGAAATTAGACAGATGTGATTTATTCCACAAGTATTCAGAAAAAGACCTCATCTAATACAAATGTAAAGAAAAGTTTTTCAAAAAGCTTTTGGGACCAAAGAAGAATTCGACATTATCACTGACTTCTAAGAATTCCAGTTAATAATCAAGGTAGGTCTAAACCTTTTACATAGATACTTTTAATTTTAACTCAGTGTGTTTTCTCTATTCTTTATTTATCAAAAACAAGTAAAATCCAACCAGAAGGCATTTGCTTTTGAAATTTCTCTTCCTGAACTATCAGAATTGATAGTTTCTGTTCCATGTATGAAGTCTTACAAAGTAATGAAAAGTTATGCTTTCAATAATAGGCATACACATTTCATTTTAATACGAAATACTAGAAGATTTACTTTTGATTTTTCCCTCTTCTCTTACTAATCATAGAGAAATAACTATTATAAAATCATATTTCCTAAGTACTTACATAATCACTAAACATATGGGTAATTAAAATCCTTGATGTCTCCAGAACATCACAAACTAAATTCTCCATTCAAACTAATTTTCTATTTCCATTGATGAAATATGTTACAAATCATATGAGACAATGTATAAGAAACACTGCATATGTTTAAATTGTGGTGCTGCCACTTTACTAGCTGGCTTATCTCAGGCAACAGCAGTAACCTCCCTAAGCTTCACTTTCATCTGTAAATTGGGAGCCATTATGAGAAACAAGAGCTTTCACACTTAGAAAATACTTTTAAAATGTCAGCTTAAAACATCCCTAAAACATATCCTGACATCTTACTGCATACTTAAGATCAAAAAGAGAGAGAGAGAGAAAAAAAAAAGCAATACTGAGCTCCTGGACAGTCAGGGATGCACACCTGTTAGCTAAGTCCTTGCTAATTGAAGCATGTTCCATGAACCAGCAGTGTTTGCCTCACCTGGGAACTGGTTAGAAATGCAAACTTACAGGTCCCACCCTGAAACACTGATTCAGGATTCTTATTTTAACACAATCTCCAGATGATTCCTATCCCCATTAAAATTTAAGCGGCACTGAGCTAAGTGACGTGCTCCTGTATACAGACCTTACAGCTTGTCTGAAAAAAATTCAGGTCTCAGCAAAATTACCAATGTTATGAATCATTGAGGTCATCTTCCAATGGTTAAAATCATAAATAATTATATCTGCATATTATCTATTGTGCTATATGGACTTCAAATTATCTTTCCTGGGTTACTGAGTTTGTTGCACAAGTATTTGTGAGACATCTCTTTATAATTTGCAATAATATTGATAAGTGAGGGTCATTATGAAAGCAGCCGAGAATTTTTTTTTTAAGTTCACAATGTAACTAAAGTATACAGTCAATAACTCCAGATCTGAGCCTTAAATCCTAAAACCCTGATATGGCCCTATGGCTTAACCCAAATTCCAGAGACCATGTAGCCAGTTCCCTAATATAGACAACATTCTAGCAACTGAGGTGAAACGGGTGTGAACAGGAGCTGCAGCTATTTAGAAACAAAATCTAAGTGAGGCTCTAGTACATAATATAGGTGAAATATATACTGTGGCTCAGAGTGGGATTGCAGCAGATATTCTGACAAATAGATATGTTACCAGCTTAACATTCCTAAATTGGAAGAAGCTCCGTTCTTACCACCACCAACTCCAAGAACAATTTTTAAGGCAATTTCATGTGGTATTTTTTTATAGTTAAATATTTTTAAATTGGGGGCCAGGTTTTGCATAAAAGAAAATGTGCTTAAACTGTACTCCATCTCAACCATCTTTAAACTGAAATGAGTCTGAATTGGCAGGATGCAGTGGCTCACGCCTGTAATCTGAGCACTTTGGGAGGCCGAGGTGGGCAGATCACTTTAGGTGTTTGAGACCAGACTGGCCAAAATGGCCAAACCCCATCTCTACTAAAAGTACATAAATTAGCTGAGCATGGTGGCTGGCACCTGTAATCCCAGCTACAGGAGGTGGAGGCTGCAGTGAGTCAAGATTGTGCCACCACACTCCAGCCTGGGTGACAGAGCAAGACTCCGTATCAGAAAAAAAAAAAAAAGAAAGAAATGCATCTGAATTCTGCTTTATCACAATCATCTCTAAATTGAAAAAGTGAATTCCTTTCTGTCCCTTCCTCATACTAAGCTCCTATATCATTGTTTTCTTTAATTCTTAATCTATAATAACTTTATACCATTTATAAATATGTACAGAAAACTGAAGGCCACATACCATTTTCAAGGTAGCCATTGGAGAGGCCAGTGCAGCTGGGTTGTTGTTTTGTACGTTTGGTTGAGGACATGGGTGCTGTGGCTTTATTCTCCAGTGGGCACTATGTTGTCCCTTTACCTTTATTGTGCAGTTGGGTTGTCGGAATTGCTACTTTCCACGTAATTGCCAAAATCAACTTCTAAGATGCTTTAAATTGCATATGTCTCATTCTTGCCTATTCTTACTTCAAAATGCAATTTTGTATTATCTCAATTGAGAACAAAATAAGCTCATTTTTAAACAATTACTTAACAGCACTGGAGATAAAAAGTTGCATTTTCTGCCTAGGTTGAGTGTTTTTCTTCTCTCTTAAATTGGGTCTCCTATGAATGATACCTAGATTATCACTCTTTTGCTTTGGTATAAATCTGAAATCCTCTTACTTATTTCAAAGCCTTATGATACTAAGAAGGAGGACTAGCCTTCTGATCACCTAAAGAATCCCATTTTGGTCCCCTAGAACTGTGCTAGACAGTTTGATTTAATTATTATTGCAGATAGATTTGCATAACGCTTTCTTCTGAAAAGTCTTTGGTCACTTAAGCAATGCCATTATATGTGCAGAGACATTCTTTTGAGAAAGTGTAATGGGACATGAAAAATAATAAAATCCACAAAACACATTTATTCAAGGATTTTAATAATGAAGAGAAATTGCAATTCAGAGTGAAGAACTAGAAGCTGAGTACTGTCTATTATTTTTTAATAAAACATAATTAAATAGGCACAGTATAATGCCTTAGAGCCAGAGGACAGTATCCGTGTTACGTCTACCGGAAAACCCACTTTCATATCAGACAAAAGGGGAGGTCAATACATTCTTATGCCATCTGTGGAATTTATTGAAGATGCAGAGCAGCAATTAATTTAACAACAATTTTATATGAGTGCACCAGACAACATTGTTTGTGGTAAAATAAGAATGTTTGGGCTTCCATTGACTATTTCTCATTAAAAGATCTCCCATAAATTGCCATTTTCTTGTCAAGGTTGCCTGGGAAAGAGAACAAAAGCCCCCCAATGCCTTTTCTAAACACCTACTGAAACCCGGAGAGACGTGCTGTTTTCAGGCTTCCCTCAGCACTTCCACCTGGTGCTCCCTTGCCAAAGGAAGAAAACATCTGGGACCATCTTCTTGTAGAATAATTTGGCAAAAGCTGGCAATATTAAAAGTGTCATAGTCTTTGACCCAGCAACTCCACCCTTAGCAACTTACTCTATAGAAAAAAGCCATAAGACTGCACCAAGATTATGCATTAATGGCTTCCTGCAATATTATTTCTCATAACAAATGTATAAATTAGTTAGAAACAATCAAAATATCTTTAGAGAGGGAAGAAATAAAATAATAAACTATATAGTGGGATAATATGCAACTATTTTTATTTAATATGAAAATATCTCCAATATATGTTATTAACAAAAAAACAAAGTTCAGGAAAATGCTTAATATCATTTACAATATATAAAAAGCCTAGACAGGCAATGTGAGTAGACACATTAAAAGTCATCTGGAGGGAAACACAAAAACCAGAAGTTTGGAGGAGAAAGAATAGGGAGGTGTTTATGTTTCATTTTATATCTGTTTGCATGGTTTGCAGATTTATTATATGCATGCATTATTTTTAATTAAAGCATTAAAAATACTGTACTAGGATTGGGAAGAAAGAATGGTAGAGTTAAACTACTTACACTACCCAGGACTAGCATACAGGACACAGCAGCTAAGTCACTGTGACATTGTAATCACTCTGTGATTCTGCCCTACATTTCCCTGGCATTGCAGCTCTGCTATGAGCTGACTAATTAACAGTAGATTTATATTTTTCTAAAGATCATTAAAATATATCACATGCTGTCTCACAGCCTTAATCTGAAGGCTGCATTGTTAATTATTCTAGTTTATTAATATATTGCCAATTCGGTATTTTTCCACTGATTGGACATCATTTTTTATAATGTTTAAAAGGTAGCAGCATGCCAAGTGCCTTTTTAAAGGGTTTTTTTTTTAATTAAGATAAAATTAATGACAGTACAGTATTTAGGAAGCCTACAGGATTATCTTGATGAAATCTCTCTTTAAAAATTTAGCTATTTGTCTTTAGAGAAAACATTCCCTATCAGAAGCTCATTATCTTAAAGTAATATACAAGTGAACTATTTTCTTGCCTATTTGTCACATATACCTATAGAATTATAAAAGTGTTCTAATTCTATGATTTATTCAATGTTATTTCAAATACTAAATTAAAGTAATTTTAGTGAGAAAAGACCGTCCAGACCAAGGCTGGATATGTGATTTCCAGTGACACCATTAGCTTTCAGCTCAATTTTTTGCTGTGTCATAAAATTCCTTATTCACTACAGACTTTCAAGAAATATTCTTAAAACAGCGCATCTGATACGTAAAACAACACACCTTTCTTTTGATTGCTACTTCTACCTTTTTCATTATTACATAATTCCTCTCATTTTATATTGGCATTCTATTCATGTGGCCCCTCGTGTCTCTATCACACCAACTAATTTATAATTGTGTTCATGCATGAGAACCTCCAGTACATCCTAAATATTTCCCATGCTTCCAGCATTATTGTAAAAATAGCTATGTTTACTGGTTACTTTGTTTCAAAATTATTTTCTTTTTCACCATAGCCTACATAAATTATGTTTTCCCCCTCTGTTAAAAACAAAAAAAAATTATTGGTGAATTATATTCTGCTGATTTTTGTTGAAAAGTCAAGAACACATGTTCAGAAATCTCTGATTCCATTTTATCAGATTATCATCCAATTTTTAAAATCACTAAGTACTTGAGCAGCAATCATTTAATCTCCACTACCCTTACTTTGCTACACATTTTAAGGTGACAGGACTAGAATCATCTATATTGATGTGCAAATAAAATAAGCCTCCCAAATTACCACTTCTACTAAAAGCAAGAAAATAGTTCTTTGGAAAAGTATAAATAGAAAATACTTACTCTTACTTTTTATTATTTAATATTAATGAAAGCAGCCCATAAATATACAAAAAGGCACTCATCTTCATTAGTCACCTGGGAAATAACAAAATTAGGCCGCGGTACAATATCATTTACCAACATCATTTATCAGAATGTTAAAATTAAAAAGACTAAAAATGCCAAGTGTGGGTGAGGGTGTGGGGCAACTGGAATTTTCCTACCTTGTTGGTGAGAAAATAAACTAGTATAAGCACTTTGGAAAACTGTTTGGAAAACTGGTTTTGCCATAGAGTCAAACAGTTTTACCCTCTGACCAAACAATTCCACTGTTTTAAATATATACCCATCAAATACATACATAACTAAGACCAAGAAACATGTAAAGAATTATTCTATGAGTACTATTCACATAGCCCAAATCGGCAAACTACCTAACTGCCATCCAACAATAGACTGAATTGTGGTACATAAACACAAATAAAATATATGCAGCAATAAGTATAACTGATCTGCAGTGGACGTCAAAATGATACAATAAGTATGAATGAGATGCAGCTACATTTTTGACCCGCATCAGAAATATGGATGAGCCTCACAAAGGTGATTCTGAGTACAAGAAGCCAGACACACAAAACAGTACATAATAATGAGATATTAGTTCTGGGTTTCAACCTTGATTAAGATACGCCCACAATATTGAGGAAGAGAGTGGTCTTGGGGAAATCAGGACACAATTTGAGAGAAAAAAATTACCGTGCATTACATACTATTTGATCTTAGTAATGTCACAATCTACCTGGCTTCATTATTCTTCTATAAAATGGGAATAATGAAACCATACCTCCCAAAAGCAAATGGCTATTTCAAAGAACTCTTGAGGTCCTACGTAGCTTTAAAATCTAAAGCTAATGAACTAATGAGATCATTTCACTACTTTGTATTTTTATCAATAAAAACATGAGTGACTCTTTTAATAAAAACAGTAATAACAGTTAACATTGTTCTAAGCACTTTACATTTATTACCTATTCAGTGCTTACACAGCCCCTATAAAGTAGATACAATTGTTATTTCCATTATACATATGAGGCAACTGAGTCCATGAGAGGTTAAGCAATTTGACCAAAGTCTCACAGCTAATAAGTTGTGGAGTCAGAATTCAGACCCAGAAAATCCGACTTGTAACTCACAGAATTAACTATTCAATATGCAAAGATATTACAGTAAGTCCACTTTAACTAAACCAAGATGGCTTTTAAAATTAAGTTTAAAATAATCTGATGTCTAATCAGCACATAGAATATTAAAGTGTAATCTATATTATATACTGAAACTCTGACCTTGCTCAACCAAAAGAATGATGATTTGTATTTATTCATATAATTCTGGACTCTGAGGAAATACCACTTAAACTAACTGTTGCTACTAGGCAAATACCAACCAGTTCTGATGGTCACATTCACATTCCCTGTATTTGAGAACTCTCTAACAATGGAGGAAAGACATTACAGCATCAGTTCAGATTTGCCTCAGATTCCCTATTCTCATGAACCGCCTTTCCTGTGAAGCAGAGCTCTGTACACAAGCCTGAATCTACAATCAATATAAATAAATAAATAAAGGCATGCATCCATGTAATAGCATTAATATTCAGAAAAATTAAATTGTTTCCTAAATTCAGTGACTTTCAGTAACATTTGATTTCCTAGAATTTCAGTCAATTATTTTCTGATAATTTTTTTTTTAAACCTGGGTTGAGATTTTATGTACTTTAATCATATCTTGACCTCATTCTATTTCAGAGTTAAGGTCACCTAAAATATTTATACTTTCCATTTTCTACAGCTATCTTGAATATGTGTCACTAAATGTCCCTGTTTGCTAGTTGAGAGCCTGAGACCGGGATAAAGGATGTGGAGGAGATGGTGACTGAAAGGAAAGAGGATGAGTGGTGAAGGCAAACTCTGCTGCCTAAGACTCAACCAGGATTCCAAAACACCTCTGGTGAGCTTAGCAACTGGTCGATAAAAGTAGATCACTTAGATTAATTATAACAGATGGTTTTTTTAAAAAAAAAAAAGGAAAGCAGGCTGTCAAACACAGCACTTTCAGATGGAACTTCTCTGAGACCTCTAACTAACTGCACGTTCCTGAATGACTTGGAATTCTCCTTATTAGGAAGATGGAGATAATACGTACTTATAGAGCTGTAAAGATCAAATGAGGCACAAAGTATGTGTCTTGTAACCTATAGGAGAAATATGGCTTCATTATGGCTGTAATTACTATGGCTTTAACGATTTGGCCTTGGCATTCCTGCCTTTGGATTTTATCCTCTCTGTTTAACTCCAGCACACTATTTTAATGGTCCAGGCAGGAAATTAAGCCCCTCCTCCCAATGCTTTGTTTATGTAGATTCAACTAAAGAAAAGGCTTGGTTTCTTCTGACTTCTTTCCCAGAACAACAACCATCTTGCTATTCATCAGTATTTATATTCAGATAACGAGCTGGAGTTGAAGTTACCGAGGGAAAGTATAAAGGAAGCTGCAAAATAGGACTGCCCAGAAATGCGCAAACAACTCCGATGAAGCAAGCCTGAAAGCATTAAAGGAAGAGCACCAAAAAGTGACTGGCCACATGCACGTGTTTCGTTCATTTCAATCTTGGCAGAGTCACATTCAGCAGTTAGGTTATACGCTTTACCTTCCAAGGGCTTTAGAAACAGTAAGCTATTAATCTCTTTAAGCTGTTTTCAATAATAATCTATTTTATCAGGTTTTGTCATTAAAAAGGCAGTTGAGCAGAAGCGTTTCAAAGATAGGATCAATGTAGGGTCTAAGAAGAGGGCTTATATTTATATTTAAAAGAGTAAAAAACATAGGAATTTACTTCTACTCCACTAAAATTAGATTTTCATAAATTATAACAGTGACACTACTGTGGAATTAACATAGGAAAATAAGACTGTTTCTCCTCACATGCAATGGTGATACACACACACACGCACAAACACACATACAAGACATCATAGACATGTGTAACTATTGGTTTCTCCCACTTTTTTTAAATACATATGAAAATCTGTACTATTTAAGTCAGTCAGTCAAAGGATTACTATTACATTTATTTTAAGTGTTATTTGTCTTCTACAAGACTTTTCAGAAGCACATTTTCTGGATATTGTCAGTGACTTATTTTTAAATTGTGCTTTGCAGAGACTCATTCCCAAAAAGAACCGCTAAGAATATTCACCATATGAACTAAATGCTTATTTCCCTAAGGGGAAATATCTATGGCTGTTTACTGAAATGTCTTGCTAGCTCTAGTAAAATGTTAAATTCATTAAAACTAAAATTTCAAATCTTTGAAATAACAAGCAAACATAAGCATGAACCCTCTCTATTCCTCTCTATTCCATGGTACTTATATATCATTAAATGTGAACAGAAAGATAAAGTCGCTTAATACTTATTATTTTTTAGCCATATCTAATGAGGGCCTATGGCTTTTTTTTTTCATTATGTTGTGGTCTGCTCACTGATCACTCACTTCCAGCTTTAACTATTTTCTATATGAAGCAAACAGTTGGTTTTCAATCATTAACACCAAAGACTGCCTGAAACACTCTTCATTAATGAATCTCAAAACATTTTATCATTTCATTATGTCTAACCGCATGTTTATTGGGAAGAATTCAAGCATTAGTCCGATTTAGTCTGCAGTTTACTCTTGGTAACACAGGCAAATGGTAAGATGAGAATTGAAATTCACTTCTGACGAATCTCTCACAATGGCCCGTTATTTCAATCAACCTGTATCTAATAACACTGACATCACTTAATGCAAATCTGTCATATCCATGAATAACAACATAAAATTATGGATGTAAAGAAAGATAAAAGAAGTTAAAGCAGGGCAGGGCACGGTGGCTCACGCCTGTAATCCCAGCACTTTGGGAGGCTGAGGCGGGCGGATCACGAGGTCAGGAGATCGAGACCATCCTGGCTAACAGGGTGAAATCCCGTCTCTACTAAAAATACAAAAAAATTAGCCCGGCGTAGTGGCAGGCACCTGTAGTCCCGACTACTCAGGAGGCTGCGGCAGGAGAATGGCGTGAACCTGGAAGGCGGAGCTTGCAGTGAGCGGAAATCACGCCACTGCACTCCAGCCTGGGCGACAGAGCGAGGCTCCGTCTCAAGAAAAAAAAAAAAGAAGTTAAGGCAAAAAGTATGATTCCTTGCTATTGTATTATGAATATGAAGCCATATATGTATATATGGTCCTTCTTCCTTCCTCTTTCTAACCACCTACAAACAAAACTATATATTGCCACAAGCCTCCTTTTATTAAGAGAAGTCCTAGAAAAATGCAGATTATTTCTCACCAAGGAAATTAGCTAGTGACATGTAAGAAAAATTGTATTCAATCCTTCCTAGTTCCACTGAATCGACTTGACTAGGCTAATACAGTCTTATGAGACGGACTGGCTTCAATGTAAAGCCTAATAGAATTAAATATAAATGCCTTCCTGAGGGAATTAAATCAACGGACTATGAAGCAACTTCTTGATTTTTCTCTGATAGCTTGTCACCCTCACCAGCAGTAGCACATTGCTACTGTCTTTCTCTCCACCCCGCCGCCACTTCTCCCTACTTTGTCTTTTTGAGAGTATACATATAAATACACTTGCATTTACAGAGCTCTATATATTCCACAAACTTTAAAACAACTCAGTTTTCATGTATGTTACTACTCCTTTGTGGAAAAAACAGCAAAATTTTTAAACACTCTTTTTAACAAAGGTTTAAGTGAAGTCTTTTAAAGTATAAGAAACATAAATAAATTATTTCCATTATTTATTGAACGATCTAGAACCCAGTTAAGGGTAGTTACAGATGAGTCAAAAAGTATTTTCTGACAACCGAAGTGAACTGCTATATAATGACTGCTAAAAGGCAGAAAAGCTTCCACACATGGTGGTGTGAGCCTTTTTTTCCCTGAATGAAGGCCATGGCCCTTATCTACACTGGACAATCCTATAATAATGTGGACTTCTGTTGTTTGGGCTAATGGAACAGCATATCTTCTGCTGCTGAAGGCCACTTGTATCATGGATTTCTTTGGTTATTGCAGCCGTGTGAACCATTCTTAACCTATTTGGGAGACACTTACAATAAATAGTACAATTAGTGAAATAACTTCCAGTAAGTTTCTTACACATGTTTCCTACTACTATCACTATATGGAATAGATTACTCCAAGAAAAAATTGTCCTACTGGAATAGGGGCATAGCATTTTAAAATGGAAAAGAACTAATCAACCAAAACAGAGAAAGTATTCTTCCTTTATTCCATCACTTCTGAAAGCTATTTAGCTTGCCCAGATTAAACCAATGATGGGTGAATACTTATTAATACAGTGCTTTATTTTTCCAAAGAAAGTATTCATCATAAAAGTTATGCTCACATTTGCATTCCTTACAGCATTTGCCATCCACATACGCAAGAGCCGACTTAAGTGGGCAGTCAGGATTTGGGCAGATTAGAGTTTCACACTGGATGGTTCCATTCTGAAAAGGAAACAATATTTAAAGAATTTCCATGTTAGAGTTTAGTAGTTTTCAAGAATTTTTGAATTCATTCCTTAAATTTTAAACTCTTCATGTGAAGAGAACAGAACAGGCCATTCATTGCCAGGAGGGGAGGCGGTGCTGACAATCACCACAAGGAGGCGCCAAACTGGAGACAGGACCACCGCAAGGAATTTGATTCCTAAAGGTGGCCAGAGCTCCCAGGTAGCTGGCTGCTCGGGCTTCCCATTTTATTGACTTCACTATACCACATTCCGTCTTCTACTCAATTTAACCTTTGCTCCCCATTTAAAAAATTTAGGAACATATCATGTTCCTGAATAAAAACTGTATCATGCACACGAACATGCACGCACGCACACACACATGCATGTGCGTGCGCACGCACACACACACACACAGTTCTGAACTACTTTTGATCTTTTTATATGCATGATATTCTGTTTTTGAATAAACTGGATGAACTTTGAGAAATTTTTTTAAAAGCCTAATTCACATAGATGTCTGACTTCTTTCCAGAAAACCAGCTTTAACAGATGAGTTCATGTGTAATTTAAAAGTTTAAAACCAAACTCTTTGAACTTTTCTTTGAAAATGAACATATATTTCTGAAATCATAATGCAATAAAATATTCTACTTCATTAGCGAGCAATTAGCAAAATCACATTTATTTAAACTTTATAATTTGTATTCCACTGTATTAATAAACTATTAGATTGTCCCAATCATTTAAACTCTATCTAATTTGCTTATATTGCTCAATCTGGACACAATATTTAATGCTGCATATGACTTAGTTTCATGAAAATGCATTCATGAAAACACAAGGGAGAAAAATCTCTGGAAATGTTAAGGATAAGAGGATAGTCTTCTTTAGGAATCACTTTACCTAATTTAAATTGCTAACTTCATGTGTGTACCAATAAACTTAAACTTTATAGCATTCCTAAACCATAATCATCTTTAGAAGCTAGAAAGTGTTTTTAATAATGCAACACAGTTCTTTAGATATGACCAGGTTTGTTGACACTTTAGTGTTGTGTCTTGAGGAAATGGGTCTTGAAATTTTCATGATTACATTGTTTTAATAAATTTTTAAAGAGTGGGAGCATCTGAGTTCCCTTAGTCTCAACTCAAATAGAAGCCATACCAGGCATGTGCAGTTCTTACAGCCGTCTATCCAGGACTCAAATTCTCGGTAGGTGGTTCCCTTCATGGTGCAAGTCCTTTCACAATAGCACTGATCCAATCTATTCATTCGCTGTTCAGCTCGAGACAGCTGTGGCACAAAAGAACGGGTTTTACATTGTTCATCCTTCCAGCAACACAGAAATGTGAAACACTCCGCAGGTATCTTTTTTTTAAAGTATGTAGCAATGATGATGGCTGTGCTTATCAACCACTTGCCATAAACATATTTAAGACTTTAATTTAATTTAAAAGAATGTTTTTTTCTCTCCTCTTCTTTTTGTGATAAATTTGCTCCCTGCCTTAGAAACAAACAACATAATTTATAAGACATAAATCAAAGGTTAATTCAAAACATCACTCAAATGCAGAGAAGCACTTTCCATTTAAAAGAAAAATGTTTAATTTCATTTATATGCTTCTTCAAGTAAAAAAATAAAATTCAGAATTTATGTTGTATAAGAAACAAATCATACACCATACAACACAACCATCAGGTATTCTGTAACTACTATACAAAATTACAAGTCTAGTGAAATTGTAGGTAAACCTGACATATGCTTAAGATATTAGTAAATAATCCTAGAACTGTAACATAGTGGTAGAAAGCATTTATGGGACCATTTCTTTGATACAATTCTGGTGTCTATATTCTTTACACTGTCCTACTGCCTCCTTGCTTGTAATGAAAAACTGAATAAAAATAAATAATAATAAAAGCTAAACAATAAATCCTCCTGTAGTAAGCAGTGTATAAATTAGGTAATCTGCCTCATTCCTGATTTACTGAATTATTTGTTATACAGATGGCTAGGGTTTTAATATTTATAAGCCTTTCCTTAAGCAGAGATTTAGATTCAGTCCTAGCAAACAGTATAGTATAAGAAGAGCCTCGAAGGTGAAAATCTATGGTTATAAATGGAAGTATTGGGAACATCAAGGATTTTTAAGCTTCCACACTGTATTCTTGAGTAGCTTTTACCTTGGCTGATGTTTTGGCTAAAATATCCTGTAGCTCCATGATTTTCTGCACAAGTCCATGGAAGTCATTGCAAGTTGGACAGGCTGGAATTACAAACACTACATTTGGTCAAGATGCATTTATAAGGGGTTCAATCTGGTTAAGTCTATGCTGACAAGTAATATATGGGGACTCCACAGTGCAAGAACTAATAGACTTACTGCGATTAAGATCTGGGCACTGAGCAATAAATCCCTGGGGCATGACAAGTAATTGGACATCTTGCATTATACCCTGTGTGTGAAAAATAGAAAAAAAAGACATATTACTTTCATTTACCCAAATTATGTTCAATGGTCAAGTTCATGAAGGAAAATATTACAGAACACACTCACTAAAATCCCTGAGTAAAAAGTCTTTGTTAATACATTATTTCCACTTCATACCAAAGGGAAAGAAATTCATCAGGCACAATAGATGATTACCCATGTATTCTCTTATTGATAATGTTTTTAAAGCCTTAAGATTAAATGTCAAGATATAACTAAGAGGCAATAGTTATGTTGTTTTGAGAAGTTATTTTTAGTTAGCCACTGACGGGCTTGAAAATGACCTTTAAAAAAATCAACCTGATAATAATTTCTAGCTTCAGCAACTCTGAAATTGATACCAATTTTAAATTAACTTTAATTATTAAAGAAAAGGATAGAAAAACTGAGTCATGAAAGCATGCTCATTTGAGCATCTCATGAAAGTGGGATCTTTTAAAACTAATTTCTCAATTTAAAAAGGACAATAGATTCATTAAACAGCTACAGCAAAATATAGTGATGAGTTCTTATGAGTACAGAAAGTTTAAAATGAAAATTTTTTAAATGTCAGCTGGAAATGACCTGTTTTACATAGAAAATTTTATCACATGTTTATAGGCAAAATTTACATGCATACTTAGTCATTAAGGTATAATTAGCTTCCAGCTTGCTGGGCTCCTAAAGCAAAGACCAATGGTGGCTCAGAAATGATCTATCAGACACATCCAGCTGTCTCTTTTATCTGCCACACTCCCCCCATTTCTTCATGGCCTTTATATATTTTATTAAATTAATATTTTACTTTATCCATTTGAAAAATGCAAACAAAATATCTAATGATAGGAATAACTGTACCAACATGACATCAATATAATTTTAAACGTACCTATAAAGATTTACCAGTCAAATACTGGTCTCTATGTCTTGTACATGTTTAATCTGATTAATAGCATGTATCAATGTGAACGATAAATATTTAAGTATTTTTACTGTGTGGGTATTACTGGATCCAGTGTGTGCTTGGGCCTAGATTGATGAAATAAATTGTGTACCAACTCCTATCACTTAGAAGCAGCAACATAAAAACAAGGCTATCGTGTACGGTTATATAGTTTATGCACTGTACAACTCTAATGGATACTATTTATGGACTACAATAAAGAGAATGACCCCCAGAGTTGTACACATAATTGACATGTGGAGATTTTGAGGCCACACTTAGGCTCCATGGGAAGGACTGTCACGATTAAATAGAGATGAGATTTGGGACTCACAGCACACATCTGCTATCCCTTACCTGGGAAAAGCGCATGGTTTTAGGATTTGCAAGCATGGAACCAATTTCCTATTTGTGTCACTTACTATTTGCCTATCTTTAAGCAAGTTACTTTACCCCTCTGTGCAGGTTTATGCATAATAAAACAGAAATAAAAAATGACCCTGCATCAAGACTAGCAAGGCTACTATTAGATGGAATCATATATTTCAAGTATCTGGTTTCCTGGTAACAGGCAATGCTTAAATAAGTTCCCAAAACACCTTTATAGAATTATAAACTTTGCTTAGAAAACAATTAAATTCACTGGTATGTGATCTACCTTGAAATCTATGAGTTGAACTATCACTTATCATTGTTTGATTTGGTAATCATTCATCGAGCCACTTCCATGTTGTAGGGACTGTCATAGCCACTGGGGGAAAATGATTGCACTATGGGCTTGTAGTCAAGCAATTCTCTGGACTTTATTTCTTCATCTTTAAAATATGGAAAGTTAAATGACATGTCCCTTAGAGCCTCTCCAATGAAGAAATTCTATGAAGTGTTGTCTCCAAGTACATATTAAAGGAAAAGATATAAATTATAACTGCTTTCTCTTTTGACAGATTTGTGCACATATGTGTATTCCTTTCTCACTTTCTGCAGTACAAGGAGACCATGAATAATATATACTAAAAAGCTTTCAATCCGCTATTAACATCTTTGTAAAAGTATCATCAAAGGTTATATTTCAGTGGTGGAGAGTTTATTTGTATGTTAACATTTTAGATTTTTATTGCTTTGAAAGGTTAATTCAAAGAATGACCTGTTAACTGCCCTGATTGCAGCCTTGTGATCATTTCTGTAATATCTAACAATTAAACTCATTGAAAAAAGAAGAGAAAATAATGTTTGCTGGCTAAAATATTACTGTTTAAAAAAATGAAACAGACACAAATTTTCTAATTTACAAATCAAATTATTTTGTTTCACACCATAAAAAGTAAAATCTACTTTTTGAAACTCATTAGAAAGCATTTACATTTCATTCTCAGACTTTTGCCAAAAGATACCTTAAAATATCCATGCGCATTATTTCTCTGTCCTAGCCAAAATGTTGTGCCTAGAGGCAAGTCTGTGGAGGGCTTTTCTACTACCCTTTCATAAATTCTGCAAAAAAGAAACATCAAAGAAGGAACGTGAGTAGACAGTCATTTCTTAGAATCTTCCATTTCCTAAAATGAGGACACTACACTTACTTATTGCAGTCAATGTGTAAAATCAAATGGGAAGCACTGATGGCTAAGGAGAGCTTGTGCCACTTGTCATCAGCCAAAATGTAAGGAAACACTTCTGTGTGAGGGCGGTGACTGCCTGAGCGGTAATGCAGTCTGACTTCATTCCGATGGCCACTACTTTCCAGTTCCAGGTACCTGCAGAGAGAAGAGCCACATGGGACACATTAAAAATAAAGTTCAAAAACGATTGAAGTGATCTCTGTCTACGGGATGGAATAGATGTACTTTTCCTAGTTCTCCCACTAAGTACAACTAGACATCATATACAAAACAAACACAGAAGAATCTAGAAGATAGAGAAAAAAAGATATTCAGGATCCAAGGAACAATATGGTAGTGAGTTCAATGGGTTTCCATTTTGTGTCATATATCCTGGACTTGGAGCTAAAGAAGGCTTCAATCTGGAAATATCAATGAATGTAGACCTAAAAAATCCTCAAGATGAGCCTGCTTTCTCTAGCTGAAGAACAAAGAAAGGATCAGTCTAGCAAGACAGAAACTGCTAGATAATAATCTCTCTGTTCCAGTCAAACATCACAGAAAAAACTGGCCCCATCCCAAACCATGCCAAACAAAAGCTAAGTAAGAAGCTTATATTTCTACCCTGTTCAAGCAGAAATGAGGCATGTAACACCAGAATAGTGTCAGAGAAGGCCAAGTTTAGAGCCAAGAATTTTAACCCTCCCAGGCAGTAATGAGGCCCCCCACAGCACTAGTGAAGACCATACAATGAGGAGCCTGGACTTCCATCTCATCTTGGAAGTAATGAAGCACACTTCCCTTTCCCCGCTGGGATAGTATCAAAGGAAGCCTACTAAGGAGTCAGGAGTTTTATAGTCATCCAGCAGTAATGAAACCACCCCGCCACAGTGCCAGCAGAAACCATATAGGAAGCTGAAACTTCCCCCAACTCAGAAATAAAAGAAGCTTCCCCCTCAACTGTCAACAAAGGCAAGTGGGGAATCTAGACTTCTACCTCCACCTGGCAGTAACAAGATGGCACCCTCCCTTCCCCTGACAAAGCAGTGTCAGAGAAAGCTGGCTAAAACAGGCGGGTTAAATAAGATTCAAGTCTCAGAACATGATACAAACATGTCCAGGTTTCAGTAAAAAATCATTCATTATACCAAGAAGCAAAGAAATCTCCAACAGATTGTAAAAAGAAAAAGAACAGATATCAAGACTAAAATGATAAGGATGTTAGAATTACCCAACAAATATTTTACAGCAGCACTGACAAAAACAATTATGAAAAGACTTAAATGAAAAAAATAGAAAGTTTCAATAAAGAAAAAGAAAAATGGGAAAAAAAATTTAAAACCAAATAGAAACTTCAGAACCAAAAAAATACAATAATGGAAATGAAAGCTCAGTGGATAAAGCTAAACAGCAGAATGGAAGTGACTGTGAAAAGAATCAGTTATCTGGAAGACAGAAAAAAAAGCATCCAATGTGACAAATAGAAGATAGACTGAAAAAAAAGTTGAACAGTCTTAAAGAGCTGTGAGATTATAACAAAAGATCTAACATTTGTATCACTAGCATCCGAGAAAGAGAGGAGAAAGGAGGCGAGCTTAAAAAACAATATTGAAGAAATAATGGCTGAACACCTCCCAAATTTGGCAAGAGATATAAACTCACAGATTCAAGAATCTAAGGAAACCCTAAACAAGATAAACTCAAAACAATTTTCAACTTCATATCAAGCCATATCATAATTAATCTTCTGAAAACTAAAAACAAAGAAAAAATTTGAAAGTAGACAGAGAAAATCTTGCACATTAAGTACAAGGAAAAATTAGAGTGACAGTGTGTTTCTCAGTAGAAACCATGGGAGCCATAAAGAAGTGGTAAAATATTTTTCATGTGACAAAAGCAAAAAGAGCTGTACACGTAGAATTGTATACCCAGCAAAAACATCCTTCAGGAATGAAGAGAAATCAAGACATTCTCAGATAAAGGAAAACTAAGAGAATTTATCATGAGAAGACCTATTTTAAAAGAACAGCAAAATAATGACCTCTAAACAGAAAGAAAAATATAAAATAAAAAGCTTTGGAACATCAGGAAGGTAGAAAGAACATAGTATGTAAAAAAGAAAAATGGGTAAATACAATAAGCTTTCCTTCTCCTCTTTTCTAAAGTATGTTTGACAACTGAAGCAACAGCTCAAAATTGAAGCAAAAGAGTCTGTGTCCTAAATGTATGTTAAACAATATTTAAAGAATTTATGTTATAAATGAGTGAGGGTAAAGAAACATAAAGACAGCTAAAATTTCTATACATCACTCAAACTGGTAAAATGACTATACGAACAATCAGTTATAAGTTATGTATATATAATGGAATACCTACAGCAACCACTTACAAAGCTATACAAAGAGACACACTCATAAACATACAGATAAAATGAAATTGTAAAACAAGTAACCCATGGTAAGAAAAAAAACAGAAAAATAAAACAGAGAGAACAAACATAAAATAAAAAATAAAGTGGCAGACTTAAACTCAAGCATATAATTTTATTAAAAGTAAATAGTTTACATGCATCAATTAAAAGAAAGAGATTAGCAGAAGGGATTAAAAACCATGACCATATTCTGTTGGTAAGAAACTCACTTCAAATATAACAGTCTAGGCAGTTTGAAAGTAAACAAATAGAAAATAATATATATTGAAACTATTAATCAAAGGAAAGCAGAAATGGCTATATTAATTTCAGAAAAATATATTTCAGAGCCAAAAAATACCAAAGACAAACAGAAATGCTATAAAAATGATGAAAAAAATCAATCCATTAAGAAGACATAGCAATTCTCAATGTGTATTACCGAAAACACAGAGCTGCAAAATATGTGAAGCAAAAACTGATAGAATTGAAAGAATACATGGTAAAATCCACAATTACAGTTGCAGACGTCAACACCCCTGTTTCAACAATTATTTGAACAACTAGCCAAAATGTCAAGAATATATAACTCAAAAATACCATCAACCAACAGGATCCACTCAACACTTATAGAACATACCACTCAACAACAACAGAATACACATTCCCTTCAAGTTCCCAAGGGATATATACCAAGGCAGACCATATCTTGAGCCATAAAATAAACCTCAACAAAACAACATTTTAAAAAATTTAAATCACTTAGAGTATGCTTTCCAACCACAACAGAATCACACTGAAAATCAATAACCAGACAATCTCCAAATGTTTTCAAGCTAAATATATTTCTAAATAATCCACAGGTCAAAGAGGAAGGCTCAGGGAAATTTTTAAAAATACATAAAATAAATTAAAATTAAAATTAAATATCAAAAATTGCCAAAAAAACAGGTAAAGCAATACTTGAGAGAGAAATTTATAGCACTAAATGCATATATTAGAAAAGAAGATAAGTCCCAAATCAATAAGCTCCCACCTCAAGAGCAAAGAAAAGGAAGGGCAAAATAAACACAAATCAAGTAGAAGTAAGGAATTAATAAAGAGCAGAAATCAATACAATTTAAAAAAATTGAAAAAAATCAATGAACCACAAGCTGGTTCTTTGAACAGTTCAATAAAATTAATGAACTAACGAAGAAAAAAGAGAAAAGATATCAATATTAAGAGATAAACAGGAGATTTCATTACAGACCCTGCAGATATTGAAAGGTTAATATGGGAATACTAAACTCTAGACAAAAAGTTTGACAAATGACACAAAATGAACTAATTCAAAAACACAACTTACAGAATATGAAACAGATTACTTGTATACTTCTATAATTTTTAAGAAAAGTGAATTCATAAATTTAAAACTCCAAAAAATTAAATCTCCAGGCCCAGAAGTTTCATTGCAGAATTTTCTCACGTAATAAAAGAAGTCATATGAATTCTACACAATCGCTTCCAGAAAGTAACAGAGAGAAAAACTACTAAATTCATTTTATGTATTTATATTGCCCTGACACCAAAAAACAGATAAAGATAGTACAAAAAAGTAAAACCAAAGACAATATGCTCCCTGAGTATATACATAAAAACTGTTAACAAAATGTTAACAAATATAATTCAGCAATATATAAAAACAATGATATACCATAATCAAGTGGGGTTTATTCCAGGGATGCCAGTCTGGTTCAATATTTGAAAATCAATCCATTATACTGACTAACAAAGGAATGAAAATTATTTTATCATATTGACTTATGCAGAAAAAGCATTTGACAAAATTCAGCACCAATTAAAGATGAAACTCTCAGAAAAGTAAGAACAGAGGAGAACTGTCTCAACCTAATAAAAAGCAACTATAAATAAACTACAGTTAACATCATACTCAATGGTGAAAGACCAGATGCTTTCTCTCTAACATCAGAACAAGGCAAACCTCTCGTTCCCACCATTCTTATTCAACATAGTGCTGAAAGCTCTGGTCAGTGCAATAAGAAGAGAAAAGAAAAGAAAAAGGAAAAGGAAAAGAAAGGAAAGAAAAGAAAAAGAATACAGAATAGAAAGGAAGAAGTTAGAAAGTCAATCTTGGCAGATTATATGATAGCCTACATAGAAAATCTCAATAAATCTAGAGGAGTTGGTACCATTCCTTCTGAAACTGTTCCAAACAAAAGGAAAAGAAGGACTCCTCCCTAACTCATTTTATGAGGCCAGCATCATCCTAATGCCAAAACCTGGCAGAGACACAATAAAAAAAGAAAATTTCAGGCCAATATCCCTGATCAACATCCATGTGAAAATCCTCAATAAAATACTGACAAACCAAATCCAGCAGCACATCCAAAAGCTTATCCACCACGATCAAGTCGGCTTCATCCCTGCGATGCAAGGCTGGTTCAACATATGCATATCAATAAATGGAATCCATCACATAAACAGAACCAGTGACAAAAAAACATATGATTATCTCAATAGATGCAGAAAAGGGCTTCGATAAAATTCAACACCCCTTCATGCTAAAAACACTCAATAAACTAGGTATGGATGGAACGTATCTCAAAATAATAAGAACTATTTATGACAAACCCATAGCCAACATCATATTGAATGGGCAAAAGCTGGAAGCATTCCCTTTGAAAACCGGCACAAGACAAGGATGCCCTCTCTCACAACTCTTATTCAACACCGTATTGGAAGTTCTGGCCAAGGCAATCAGGCAAGAGGAAGAAATAAAGTGTATTCAAATAGGAAGAAAGGAAGGCAAATTGTTTTGTTTGCAGATGACATGATTGTATATTTAGAAAACCCCATCATCTTGGCCCCAAAACTCCTTAAGCTGATAAGCATCTTCAGTAAAGTCTCAGAATACAAAATCAATGTGCAAAGATCACAAGCATTCCTATACACCAATAACAGAGAAACACAGAGCCAAATCATGAGTGAACTTCCATTCACAATTGCTACAAAGAGAATAAAATACCTAGGAATACAACTTACAAGGGATGCGAAGGACCTCTTCAAGAAGAACTACAAACCAATGCTGGAAATAAGAGAGGACACAAACAAACGGAAAAACATTCATGCTCATGGATAGGAAGAATCAATATCATGAAAATGGCCATACTGCCCAAAGTAATGTATAGATTCAGTGCTATCCCCATCAAGCTACCATTGACTTTCCTTCACAGAATTAGAAAAAAACTACTTTAAATTTCATATGGAAACAAAAAAGAGCCCATATGGACAAGACAATCTTAAGCAAAAAGAACAAAGCTGGAGGCATCATGCCACCTGACTTCAAACTATACTACAGGCTACAGTAACCAAAACAGCATGGTACTGGTACCAAAACAGATATATAGTCCAGTGAAACAGAACAGAGGCCTCAGAAATAACACCACACATCTACAACCATCTAATCTTTGACAAACCTGACAAAAACAAGCAATAGGGAAAGGATTCCCTATTTAATAAATGGTGCTGGAAAAACTGGCTAGCCATAGGCAGAAAACTGAAACTGGATCCCTTCCTTACACCTTATGCAAAAATTAACTCACAATGGATTAAAGACATAAATGTAAAACCCAAAACCATAAAAACCCTAGAAGAAAACCTAGGCAAAACCATTCAGGACATAGGCACGGGCAAAGACTTCATGACTAAAACACCAAAAGCAATGGCAACAAAAGCACAGTTGACAAATGGAATCTAATTAAACTAAAGACCTTCTGCACAGCCAAAGAAACTATCATCAGAGTGAATAGGCAACCTACAGAATGGGAGAAAATTTTGGCATTCTATCCATCTGACAAAGGGCTAATATCCAGAATCTGGAAGGACATTAAATAAATTTACAAGAAAAAAAACAAACAGCCCCATCAAAAAGTGGGCAAAGACTAACAGACACTTTTCAAAAGAAGACATTTATGCAGCCAACAAACACATGAAAAAAAGTTCATATTACTGGTCATTAGAAAAATGAAAATGAAAACCACAATGAGAAACCATCTCATGCCAGTTAGAATGGCGATCATTAAAAAGTCAGGAAACAACAGATTCTGGAGGGGATGTGGAGAAATAGGAATGATTTTACATTGTTGATGGGAATATAAATTAGTGCAACCTTTGTGGAAGACAGTGTGGCAATTCCTCAAGGATCTAGAACCAGAAATACCTTTTGACACAGCAATCCCATTACTGGTTATATACCCAAAGGATTATAAAGCATTCTACTATAAAGACACATGTACATGTATGTTTTCTGCAGCACTATTTACAATAGCAAAGACTTGGAACCAACCCAAATGCCCATCAATGATAGACTGGATAAAGAAAATGTGGCATATATACACCACGGATTACTATGCAGCCATAAAAAAGGATGAGTTCTTGTCCTTTGCAGGGACATGGATGAAGCTGGAAACCATCATTCCCAGCAAACTAACACAGGAAGAGAAAACCAAACACTGCATTGTCTCACTCATAAGTGGGAGTTGAACAATGAGAACACATGGACACAGAGAGGAGAACATCACGTACCGGGGCCTGTCATGGGGTGGGGGCAAGATGAGGGAGAGCATTAGGACAAATACCTAATGCATGCGGGGCTTAAAACCTAGATGATGGGTTGATGGGTGCAGTAAACAACCATGGCACATGTATACCTATGTAACAAACCTGCATGTTCTGCATATGTATCCCAGAATTTAAAGTATAAAAAAAAACTATCAGAACTAATAAGTTAATTTGGCAGGGTCATAGGATACAATATGACATATAAAAATAATTATATTTCTACAAGCTAGCAAAAATACATGGATACCAAAATTAAAAATACAATATAATTTACAATTACACAGAAAATTTAAAACTACTTAGGTGTAAATCTAACAAAACACAAACAGGTATTATATACTGAAAACAACATAACACTGATGAAAGAAATCAAAGATCTAAATTATGAATAAATATACCATATGCATAAATTGGAAGACTCAATACAGTAAAGAAGTCAATTCTCCCCAGTGTGATATAAATGTTTAATATAATTCCTATAAAAATAATGGCAAAAAATTTAGCTGTAGACAACATTATCCTAAAATTTATACGGAAAGGCAAAAAAATTTACATTAAAATTTATATGGAAGGACATTTAGGCTATTCAAATCAGAATAGCTGAAATAGTTTTGAAGAAGGAATAAAGTAGAAAGAATCAATCTACCCAATTCAAAGACTTTATACAGTACAGTAATCAATACTGTGTAGTATGGGCAGAGGGATAGTCACATATCTCATATGGACAGAGAATCAAGAATATACCCACACAAATATGACCAACTGATTTTTTTACAAAAGAGCAAAGGTAATCCAATGGAGAAAAATATAGCTTTTTCAACAAATGGTGCTGAAGCAACTGAACATCCAAATGTTAAGGGAAAAAAAAAAATTTTAACTTCAGTCTCACACTTCATGCAAAAATTATCTCAACATGGATCACAAACTTAAATATAAAATCTAAAATGTAAGACTGTTAGGATAAAAAAAGGATAAAATGTTAGGGATTTAAGTCTACACAATGAGTTCTTAGAGTTGACACCAAAAGCACTATCCATAAAAGGTAAAAATTGAAAACTGGACACCATCAGAAAGGGAAACTTTTGTGCATTTTAAGACCCTGTGAAAAGATGAAAAGACATGCTACAGTTTGGAAGAAAATATTTACAAATCAAATATCTGACAAAGGACTACTATCTAGAATATAAAAGAACTCTCAAAACTCAGCAATTAAAAAAAAGAACGTGGGGAGAATGGTATCATTATGGCGATGGGAGGCAGGACTAGATTGCAGCTCCAACTCGGATAGACAGAGCAGTGTGTGGAGGCTTGCATGATGAATTTTAGCTCCAGATCGACTGCAAGAATAAACCAGGAATTCTGAAAGGACCCACCCCACGGACCCTCTGAAGGAAGCAGATTGCTCCTGCAGGACACCGGAGACACTCCAAACACTGAGTGCTCCAACTGTGGAAATGGAAAAGGGAGATCCTCTTCTCCCAAACACACACCCACACTGGGGAAACTGAACGTCTGTTTGAGGGAGAAGTTTCCAAACTTACCTAGAGCTGAGTCAATCTAGAGAGCCTAGTCAAATACAAGCGTAGAGGAAGCAGAGGGAAAGGCCCTGGGAGCTCACTGAGTCTCCAAGCAGGCCATTCCTGCCTAGCACCACAGGGATCCTTTGGGAGGGTGCCCAGAGGCATGGGGGAAGATGTCAAAGGCAGAAGGAAATCTCCAGCTGAACTTTGTAACAATTTAAGCTGGGCGAGAAGCCTCCTGGCCAGAACTTGGGGGAAGGCACAAATCTGGTGTGCAGACTCCATAGGTGGGGAAAGAACCAAAGCTCTGTTCTTTTGCAGCTGGGAGGTGGGTAGCCTGGAGCAAGTTCTTAAGTCTAGCTCACCCACCACCTGGAAACAGACTCGGGGCTGTTGGGGCAGGGCACAGGGGGAGTAAGACCGCCCCTTTGAATTGCATGGCAGTTCGGTGAGGCCTGTGACTGCCAGCTTTCCCCCACTTCCCTAACAACCTTCATGACTCAGCAGAGGCAGCCATAATCCTCCTAGGTTCACAACTCCATTGACGTGGGAACCTCACCCCCAACCCCCACAGCAACCTGCCCAAGGAGAGTCTGAGCTCAGACATGCCTAGCCCTGCCCCCACCTGATGGTCCTTCCCTACTCACCCTGGTAGCTGAAGACAAAGGACATATACTCTTGGGAGTTCTAGGGTCCTGCCCACTGCTGGGTACTACCACAGCTGATGCTCTCTGGAAAGTGCCACCTCCCAGCAGGAGTCCAACCAGCACAAAAATAGAGCATTAAACCACCAAAGCTAAGAATCCTCACTGCCACCTCCACCAGAATAAGTGCTGGTATCCACAGCTGAGAGACCCATAGACGATTCACATCACAGGACTCTGTGCAGACAATCCCCAGTACCAGTACCAGCTCAGAGCTGGGTAGACTTGCTGGGTGGCTAGACCCAGAAGAGATAACAATCACTGCAGCTTCACAGGAAGACACATCTATAGGAAAAGGGGTAGAGTATTACATCAAAGGAATACCCTGTGGGAAAAAGAATCTGAACAGCAGGATTCAGCCCTAGACCTTCCCTCTGACAGAACCTACCCAAATGAGAAGGCACCAGAAAACCAGCTCTGGTAACATGAGAAAATAGGGCTCTTTAACACCCCCCAAAAATCATACTAGTTCACCAGCAATGGATCCAAACCAAGAAGAAATCCCTGATTTACCTGAAAAAGAATTCAGGTGGTTAGTTATTAAGCTAATCAGGGAGACACCAGAGAAAGACAAAGCCCAATGCAAGGAAATCCAAAAAAAGATATAAGAAGTGAAGGGAGAAATAGTCAAGGAAATAGATAGCATAAAGAAAAAACAATCAAAACTTCAGGAAACACTGGATGCATTTATAGAAATGCAAAGTGCTTTGGAAAGTCTCAGCAATAGAACTGAACAAGTAGAAGAAAGAAATTCAGAGCTCAAAGACAAGGTCTTCGAATTAACCCAATCCAACAAAGACAAAGAAAGAAGAATGAGAAAATATGAACAAAGCCTCCAAGAAGTCTGGGATTATGTTAAATGACCAAACCTAAGAATAGTTGGTGTTCTTGAGGAAGAAGATAATTCTAAAAGCTTGGAAAACATATTTGGGGGAATAATTGAGGAAAACTTCCCTGGCCTTGCTGGAGACCTAGACATCCAAATACAAAAAGCTCAAAGAACACCTGGGAAATTCATCATAAAAAGATCATCGCCTAGGCACATTATCATCAGGTTATCTAAAGTTAAGATGAAGGAAAGAATCTTAAGAGCTGTGAAACAAAAGCACCAGGTAACCTATAAAGGAAAACCTATCAGATTAACAGCAAATTTCTCAGCAGAAACTCTACAAGGTAGAAGGGATTGGGACCCTATCTTCAGCCTCCTCAAACAAAACAATTATCAGCCAAGAATTTTGTATCTGGTGAAACTAAGCATCATACATGAAGGAAAGATACAGTGTTTTTGAGACCAAGAAATGCTGAGAGAATTCATCACTACCAAGCCAACATTACAAGTACTGCTAAAAGGAGCTCTAAATTTTGAAACAAATACTGGAAACACATCAAAACAGAACCTCTTTAAAGCATAAATCACAGAGGACCTATAAAACAAAAATACAACGTAAAAAGCAAAAACAAAATAACAACAACAACAACAAAAAAAGCCAAAGTACACACGCAACAAAGAACATGATGAATGCAACGGCACCTCACATTTCAATACTAACATTGAATGTAAATGGCCTAAATGCTCCACATAAGAGATACAGAACCGTAGAATGGATAAGAACTCACCAACCAACTCTCTGCTGCCTTCAGGAGACTCATCTAAGACATAAGGACTCACATAAACTTCAAGTAAAGGCATGGAAAAAGGCATTTCATGCAAATGGACACAAAAAGCCAGCAAGGGTAGCTATTCTTCTATCAGAAAAAACAAACTTTAAAGCAACAGCAGTTAAGAGACAAAAAGGGACATTATATAATGGTAAAAGGCCTTGTCCAAAAGGAAAATATCACAATCCTGAACATATATGCACCTAACACTGGAGCTCCCAAATTTATAAAACAATTACTAATGACCTAAGAAAGGAGATAGACACCAAGAAGAAAGTTCAAGTATATATATATATATACATATATATATATATGTATATATATATGTATATATATATGTATATATATATATACACACGCACACACATACACACACACACACACATATATAGTATTCCATCATATATATATATATATATATATATATATATATATATATATATATGATGGAATACTACTCAGCCATAAAAAGGAATGAATTAATGGCATTTGCAGTGACCTGGATGAGATTGGAGACTATTATTCTAAGTGAAGTAACTCAGGAATGGAAAACCAGACATCCTATGTTCTCACTGATATGTGGGAGATAAGCCATAAGGACACAAAGGCATAAGAATAATACAATGGACTTTGGGAACTTGGGGGGAAGCCTAGGAGGGGGCTGAGGCATAAAAGACTATAAATAGAGTACAGTGTATACTGCTCGGTATAGAGCTCCTGCAATAATTCATAGGAGACGTGATGGTGTCTTGGACCACAGTAGTAGTGGTAGATTGGTGGGAAGTGGTTTAATTTGGCATATATTTGGAAAATAGAGCTGATAGAATTTGCTGATATGGAGTTTTGAAAAACAAAACTAAAAAAAAATAGTGGAGCTGGAGCTTTTGACTCTAATGTTTTGTACTTGAGCAAATAGAAGACAAGAGGTGCCACTGATTGAGATGGAGACTATAAGAAGAGTAAGTTTAGATAAGGTAAATCAAGTATTTAAATGTAGATATGTTATATTTAAGGTACCTAATGAACATTCAAGAGGACATATAGAAAGGACAGCTAGATTTATAAGTCTGAGGTGAACAGAGGTCCATATGGGCATGGGAATATGGGGGTAACAGGCATATAGACCACACTGAAAGCCAGGAAAGCATAGGGATTCCCTAGGGAATTATTACAGACAAAAAAAAAAAGGCACTTTGACATTTTGAGGCACAGCAAAGGAAACCAGTGTGGCCAGGGAGACTAGAGAAGAAAAAAGTGAGAGTGGTGTCTCAAAAGCCTCGTGACGAGGATGGTGCCTCAAAAAAGAGGGAGTGATCAACTGTATCAAACGCCATTGACAGGTTAAGTAAGATGAAGAATTAATCTCTGGATTTAGCAAAATTCAGAGATTATGCTATTTCAGAAAACTTTTTAGGGGACCCTAAAGCTATTTCAGAAAACTTTTTAGGGGAGAAAGCTGGCTTGAAGAAGGTTCAAGAGAGAATGGCAAAGAGAAGAAACAGACAATAAATGGAGACACTTTGAAAGAAATGGGAAGGTAAATGCTGAGAGACATGTCAAGAGATTTTTTCTTCATTTTTACTGGTGAGAAATACTATACGTGCTTGTATGCTGCTGCGGATAATCTTGTAAAAAAGGGAAATTAGCCAAAATTGAAAGAGAAAAGAAACTGGAATAAAAAAGAAGCCATAAAGCAAAACACAGATTAACTTTACATTTTAACTATATAAAAATTAAATCTTTTTCAATGGAAAAGACACCATAAATAAACAACCAATGACATTCTATAAGACAAAATAAAATGCATAATACATCAGAGGTTAATATCCACAATATATGAAGTGCACCTATAAGTCAATAAGAAAAATCAACTAGATGGATTTTTCTTATTGACGTATAGATCTGCCAATCAGATTAGCAAAAATTAAGCAGATTAATAATATGCAGTGTCAATCATAATGTGGGGAAATATGCACTCTGATACATGATTTGCAGCAACATAAATTGACAAGAGCTTTTTTAAAAGGCAGCTTGGTGAAACTACCAACACCTTAAATGTGCATACTCTTTAAATGAGCGATTCCGAATCTAAAAATCTGTCCTACTCAAATAATAGCACAAATTGGCAATGACATATGTAGAAGGTGCTCACAGATTTATTTAAAATAGTGAAAAACTGATAAAATTCCAATTATTCATTCATATAGAAAATGTAATACATCCATATTCTAGAACACTATGCCACTCTGCAAAAGAATGAGGCTCTGACATGAAACAATACCATAGTGTACTATTAAGTAAACAAAAAGGCTGTGTATAATCACATTTTGTTTAACAAAACTCTGTATGTGTATGTGTGTGTCCGTACATATATAACATATGTATGAAGTAAATTGATATTTTAAGATAAAAAAGAAAAAGGTAAACCACCTGTCGAGAATATAAATTATTTAGAAACTACAAAGAATGAATAAAATACCAACTTGTTTGCTTTTTTTATCCAAAAGACACCAGCCAGAGAGTCCCTTTTATCTTCTTGTTTAACAACAAGTATTCATTATTTAATCAATTCAACTAATGAGTTCTATAATAATAAAGTGTATTTGCATTTTTAAACAATAACATCAGCAAACGCATCATCCCATTGCTAAATACCTGTCAGTTCTCAACATAATGAGGCAAGAACCCAATTGTTGCTATCATGTCCCCACTTTTAGAAATTATTAGAAATAACACCTGTATTGAATTCCTAAACCTAAGCCACTAAAAGTAGCCTTTAGTAACAGTGATGGTGATACAACACCCTACAAACAATAACAGCCATTAAGGAGTTAAATTACTTCAGCAAAAGTTAAATTTTCATTAGCATAATTCACTCAGGTTTTTTAAAATAGATAAGTAATCCATCAAAAACTTGTGAAGAGAAAAATAAGTAATGATATAAAAGACGTGTACCTGACACATGGTTAGTACTCAATAACATTAGCTATCATTAATAGAAAGGAAGATATGTCAAAAGGAATCAATCCATAATTCAATTCTGATATTTTTGAAACAGAATGTCTTCAAAATCAGTCACCATTAAAATGCACAAAATCGTATGAATACAGGAAACTACCTGAAAATATGATAATTGTATAGTTGTAAGTTTTTATAATGAACACTGGGCATACTTTGATCAATCATTTTTCTAAAAACAGTCATATTCACTTCAGGAAATCCACTGTTCCCCACTGGATGGAGTCTCAGTAGGACACAGCCCTGGCTCCCCCCGTTGTCCCCTTCCTGCCTCCCTACCAAGGCTCGGCACAGCAGGATGGTTGAACATCTAACCCTAAAGCCAGATCACTGGGTTCACATTCAGGCACCCCTCCTAGTAATAGTAAGCTACTTCACCCCTATGTGTTTCATCTGGTTAATCCACTGTATGATAGTACTTGCCTCATTGGATTTTTGTGAGGATTTGAATGAGCTGACTTAAGAAAGCACTCAGAACAATACTCAGTACATACAAAATACTCAGGAAAAGTAGTAGATGTCAGCTATCATTTCCATTTCAAAAAGGAAAGGGCTCATGTCTTCCCTCTGTCTTCTCTTGGTACAATTGGAGGCAAGACCATGACACACTCTTCCAACAAACACGCTTTCCTGAGACAGAATCTGATGCAGCGCAGCAAGGAAGGGAGGAGCAGGTAGTACCTCCTTGTGCTGGCAGCAACAGCACCCCGGTCAGTTATGCTAAGGTCACTGTGCATTTTGCTTCCTGTTTGCTGACCCATCAGGGTACTTCTCGTTATTTCCTAGCTCTAATTCTGGCATCACAGCCTCCCATTAGTTCTGTAAACTGCCCTCCCATCTGCAACCTCCCCAGATCACCTTTCAACCAAGAGTTCTAACCAACACATTAAAATTATGACTACCGGGAAAATACATAATTGGAATAAAATGTACCAACATTTTAAACACAATTGTTTGAGTGATAGAACTATGAGTAATTTTTAACCTTATTTTTATTATCCTTTATTTTCCCTTCTGTCATTAATGAGCATTTACTACCCTAAATTGAAAATCACATTATAAATCCCAGGAACATAATTTGTCACACTTGAACATATCTTGTCTCCCTGATTTGTTAGAATTTTGAGAGTTAGCTGGAATCAGAAATAAAGTTAACCTTTTATAGTAATTTATGCCCTTGTTAGTCAAATATCCTTTGCATTGGCAGAAACATAAACTAACTTAAGATTAGGTTTCCGAGAAATAGGCAACGGTGGCAGGGCATCATTCATTTTAACAACCTCCTTCATCACTCAAGATCAAAGGATAAAAATAGGGTCATGTCTCATATGACAAAAAGGTTGCACACAACATGAAATGAGAATTTTTTCTGCTGCCTTAAATTAAGCCTAAATAGGAAAATGATCAGACCATCTCAGTACATTAAGCTACAGCCCAGATACAAATTAGTCACCTAAAGAAAAGCCATATGTACTTCTAGTGCCAAATATATATTATCAGTGTAGCTTATGGATGGTACAATTGCAAAGTAGTTACATGCACAGGCTTTGGAATTGAAAATACAGCTCAGCCTCTCACTACTACCTGTGACCTAGGTAGATCATCTAACCTCTCAATGCTTCAGTTTCCTCACCTGTTCAAGAAGGATTCAATGTGATAATCCACACTAAGCAAGATGCCTGAAACATAGCAAGCACTCAGTAAATGGTAACTATTTTTATTATTGGTCAATAATCCCAATTTGGCATCATTTATAAGGTCCAGATTCTTAAGGCTGATTCTGTGAATAACGAGCAATTTGAATATGTTTTTTAAGTGCAAGAATGCAGAAGCCAGGAAATAAACAAGGCAAAAACAGATTAATCCACTCTAGTGGATTAATCCAACTAGTGGATATCACTGGTATGCGGGGACTCTAGTATAATGAAATATAAAGAGTGAACTACAGTGGTAGAGCCAAAATTATTGTGAGTTAGGTGGCTTTCCTCATTTATTATAGAAAATTGGCTGTTTCATCTTGCCACTTCCAGTGATTCCCTCACATGTTAAGGGAGATGGGAGAGCAAGTAGAAAAGGGTGCATTTTCTAGCATCCCTTATTAGAAATATCTTTTCTGATATTTTTGTTAATTCATTTATTCTAATGGTATTTGTTCATTCGGAAGACAGTATAATGCAGCAATTTAAGAGGACTCAGAGTCTCTTAATCCTGTCCCCACAGTTTACTAACTGTGATAACAGGCAAGTTAAAAATTCTCTCTAAGCCTCAGTTTCCCCCCTCCCCATCCAAAGAGGATAATAAGAGTTGTAAATTTCTGATTATTTTAACAATTAAATGAACTAAAAGTTGTAAGTGCTTACTTTGCACAATTCTTAGTAAAGAGTAAGCACTCCATATGTCATTATTATGACTTGCATTTCCTATGATACAATTATACATTCTATTAAAATATCAGCAAAATTTCAGGATGGGTTTTAACTTAACTAAGTATGAATTTCATGGACAGAAAGTGTTTTAACAAGAATCTACTGAACTAATGGTGCTTAAATCTCATCTATGATATTCCTGTCAACATGATTATCTAGTTTGAATATATCCAGTGACCAACAATCAGAACTTCCTGACACAGACCATTTTGTTTTTAATTTTAAATAATTTTTCTTACATTAAGCCCTAAAGAAAAGAGGTTTCTTAATAATAACTTTTTAGTTTAATTATTCCAACAAATATTTACTATGGTACTGAGAATCTGTCAATAAACAAGGCCAAACAACTCTGTAGCTTAAAGACCCTCAGTAATAAACACATTATTAAGTGAAAATTAGGTTTAGCTGTTTCAAAACTAATAATAACACTACTACAAAAGTTTTGTTACAAGAAAAGGAATGCAGCCAAATCATTGAGGATAACAAAACTTTTTCATGAATAATATAGCTAGGAGCCAAAATTGTATCACCAAGAGATAAGATCAGTAGCAAATTGAATTAATTCATAATTGAAGCCCTAGCATCCAACATGATGGCTTGAATAACAACCTATCTTATTACCCTACATAACTGAGCTTAATATAAAATACAAGGAAAAAATGACCACTTGTAAATTACAGGTAATTTATTATTCTTAATGATGAGGCCAGCAAAACACAAACAAATCCTAAGAAAGAGCACTTGGAGCTATGATTCTGGAGATAAGAATTAAGTGGCATTGCATATATTTTTAAAACATCGATTTTCAAAAGGTCCTATGTGAATATTAAGAACAGGTATTAAAAAAAGAAGGAAAGGGTATAATAAAGCACTGATAATAAGTGCGGTAGGGGTAGCCAAAAGAGTTAGGGAGTTAAAACAAGCCATTGGATAAAGGGTAGTATCTGCTTAATGCTTAGCTTTCTCATTATCTCAACTCAGTTGTGACTGAAACCAAACAGGTAGAAATTAGAGAAAGACATGGAGAGAAAGGGTTCAGAGAAGTGGCAGGCTCAAGGAACATGAGCCTTCCCTATTGCATCAAGGATGGTCATATCATAAAAGCATACTGTTGTAAGGTTGGGGACCCACTGGGGAATATAGTCTGCTTTAATGATCTGAAAATGCACATAGCAGATGTGCAAAAAATTTGGCTGGCTCACAAATTTTACAAGGGTTTCATAGATTCTACAAAGTCCATTCATGGGCTTCGTTAAGTATTTCTGAATAATAGGAAATAAAAGCAGAAAGAGTGAAGGCTTATGGCTAGTTGCAAAAGACCTGACAACTTGGCCAGTTGTGTATATACATAAATATATAATTTTTCTGATATAAAATAATAGGTTGCAATTAGACAAAATTACAGAAAATACATAAAAGGATGAGGAAGAAAATTAAAATCATTAATGGTATCGCTCCTTGAAGGTATCATTAAGTATCGCTCCTTGAAGGTCTGAAAAACTCAACATTAAAAAAATAAAGTTAAGGTCTAATGACTTCAGGATGAAAGGATGAAAAAATCCAATTCTTTGACAAATTTTTATTCCATCATTCCATCTAGGAATTCCATCCTAGATGGAATGATGGAATAAAACCATTCCATCCTAGATGGAATGATGGAATAAAACCATTCCATCCTAGATGGAATGATGGAATAAAACCATTCCATCCTAGATGGAATGATGGAATAAAATCATTCCATCCTAGATGGAATAAAATCATTCCATCCTAGATGGAATGATGGAATAAAAGCATTCCATCCTAGATGGAATGATGGAATAAAAGCATTCCATCCTAGATGGAATGATGGAATAAAAGCATTCCATCCTAGATGGAATGATGGAATAAAATCATTCCATCCTAGATGGAATGATGGAATAAAAGCATTCCCTCAGATTTTCTGTACTGTTTTTGAGTTGGGATTCTAATATGTGATTTCATAGAAAATCATTCACTACATCTAAATTTTCAAATCTATAAGGTATAAGAATTTGAAATAAATATCACTATTTTTATTGGTGGACAACATGACTATGTGCATAGAAAAAGCAAAATATTCTACAAATAAACTATAGAATTAACAAATGAATTTAACAGGCTCACTGGATAAAATATCAATGTGCAAGATTCAACTGTATTACTAACAAATAGAAAATAAAATTTCAAATAATGGCAATTAAAATGACATCAAAATATCAAATATCCAGGAATTAATTTAACAGAAAATATGCAACAACTCTACAGAATGCTATGAAACAATACTGAAAGAAATTAATGTTCTCTATTGTAAATATGTAAGTCATCCTTCAAATTTATGTATAGATTTAATGAAATTCCAAACAAAATTTAAGCTGATTCTAGAATTATAAAGAAATGTGAAAAATACAAGTACATATATCTAACATAATCTTGAAAAAAGCAAAATTTGGAGAACTTATGCTACCACATCTAAAATTTTTAAAAAGGTATAGTAATTAAATTGTGTAACAATGGCACATGAATAAAAAAGTAGACTAATGGAGCTGTATAGATAGTTTAGAAACAGGTTCACACAAATAGGGTCGCCTGATTATAGCAAAGGCATTTTAATGCATAGAGAAAAAAACAGCTGTTTAAAAAACTGTGAGGGATCAGTTGGCTATTCATATAGGGGAAAAAAGAACTTTGCAAATGATTTCCACTTTTTTTTTTTTTTTTTTTTTTTTTTTTTTGAGACAGAGTCTTGCTCTGTCACCCAGGCTGGAGTTCAGTGGCAGGATCTTGGCTCACTGCAACCTCTGCCTCCCGGGTTCAAGTGATTCTCTTGCCTCAGCCTCCCGAGTAGCTAGGACTACAGATGCGTGCCACCATGCCTGGCTAATTTTTTATATTTTTAGTAGAGATGGGGTTTCGCCATGTTAGCCAGGACGGTCTTGATCTCCTGACCTCGTGTTCCACCCATCTTGGCCTCCCAAAGTGCTGGGACTACAGGTGTGAGACACCGTGCCCGGCCCGATTTCCACTTCTTATTTATCACCTATGCGTATGACCTTTGTGCAATACAGTAAGATCCCACTTCCTGAAAACTCAAGGCATCAGTTTGGAGATCAGATTCATTATACTCCAATCTTGATGGCAGCTGCAAACCGGTTCTGCCTCTAGTCCCTGCTGCAACTCAAAGGATGTTAATGATATTTGAAAAAAATAAAGAAGTATAACCCTTCACTAATTCTCCAAGTTGGTGTTCACTGAAGTATGGTAGGTTGAGAAGGGTCAACTGCACTCTTTCCTTCTTTCCAAAACTCTTCCATCTTACTACCACTTTATAATATATTATATTCTTCTAATGTCCGAAATGGTCATAATTTTTCCACAGAATACAGATCAGTATATTAGAGAGAAAAATTAAGAGTTTGTTCATTTAAATATAAGTACTAGTGGTCCTATTCTGAAGGGTTTTCAGGTGTGTAGGGGGGGTGATGTATTTAATATAGCTAAGTTATGAAACACATTTTATTCCAAGGCATTTATTAACTGGGGTGTCACCCTACTTTAATTGAAAGATGAAACTCCTACCCAAGAGTTATTTGTAGAGGCTCAAATAAAATATCAATTTCTTTCTACATTATGTTTAAACATTATTCTACTTATCTACAGAGAGGAAGTGGAATAAAGTGATCCCTGGACCTGTGAAACCATCTGTCTTAGATATTAGTGGTCAAGTAGAGTTCAAAAATATAGAAATTGAATTTAATCGTATTTAATCACCAAATCCTCAGAATGCATTCACTCTGATATGAAAAGATATAGAAATATACAGACACATTAATTCCACAAAGGAATAACACGCTTATTGAGGAATCATTAATTACTTAGTCATTTGGCATATAAGACACTACTATGTACTTAATTTTACTTTAAAATATGGTAAATAAGCACATTTTAGTTCTGAATTTGGATACTCAAGTCAATCTCTTAATTTTGTGAAAAAAATAAAATTCATCTTTTCTGGATATAGTTTTATCTGTTAGAGAGGTTTAAGTCAGCTCTGCCTGAAGTTAAAGGGAGGAATTTGGCGATATCTTAAAATCCAACCTATACATAAATTAAATACTATTGTGAATTGAGACGAGAGAGAGAGAGAGTCCCCAAGAGAATACACTAATCTTCTCTTCAATTTCCAGATGCCTAAGTGGTTTTACAAGCCTATGAAGGGATGACTGCAATTGCACGCTTTCAAAGAACAAAGAATTTTTAGGAAGAAAGTAATATTCCCAAAATGGTAGCTTTTCATCTTCATCTTCACCTAAAAATGATCCATGATACTTTTACGGATATGTCCATCTGGAGTGAGTAAGTGACTCTCAAAGCCCCTGAATGTCCTATGATTCTATGCAGTATTTCATTTGGCTTCCAACCTTTCTCTTACGTTAACAATTTGCTGTCCTAAGATGCTAAAAATCAATAGAAATTCTTTAGGCCAATAAAGCCTGGCCTGTGTAGGAATTTTCAACAGCTTTATAGGTAACATATTCTGAAACTATGGGCAGCAATAAAGGAAAAGCATTGATGCATGGAAGACAGCTAGAAGTTCTAGGCAGACTGTATTTGAAAGAGAGAACAAAGTCACACGGGACAGAGTAAGCTGTCAACACTGCATCATCTGTTTTCTGACATGCTTCATGGGTCATCATGCCTCCCCTGTTGTTCAGTATAAATAAGAGCCAAGGAAGAAGGCAACAGGATTCATAGGCCACCCACTGAGGCGACATTTTGATTGTAGTGAGCATATTACCTCAGGAGTTCCCAACTGAAATGGTTACAGAACATCCCTAACTAGAGGAAACAGAACCAACCTTGCCCTAAATTGTAGCTATTATAGAAACGCCAAAATGCTAGAAATCTTACTTTCAAGTTTTGCCATTAACTTTTTATGGAGAGGCAGTTTGAAAAATTAAAAGACAAAATAGTTACCCAATAATGTAGACCATGATTTATTTACATTGCCTCAACTTTTCAGTAGGTCATGTGATGCTGCTGAAATAAAGAAGTAAATTGTGTGAAAGATTTCTGGCTTTTTAGCCAGTTTTTACTGTTAGTATAAATAAAAATGCCCAACAGAGAAAAATACATGATTATTATTATTATCTTCAAACCACTATAGAACAATAGTGCTATCTGGTCATTAGAGTTTTTGAGCTCTGAAGGAAGTAGAAAGCTCATGGTGCTGCTCTAAAACAAGCAGTTGAGAATTTGTCAGGATAATAGTTAGGACGATGGGCTGTGACGCCAAGTAGCCTGGTTCAAATGTTGATTCTGTCACTTATTGTAACATCGGACATGAGCCTACATCTCTCAGGGTCCCATTTCCTTGTCTGTAAGATAGGAATAATAATGGTACCTACCTCCAAGATTGCAGTGAGCATTTAATGAGATTAATCCATATAAGGAATTTAGGGAACTGCCTGACACAGGGTAGGCGCTGAAAGTGTTAACCCTTGCAATGAAGGGAAAACACTTCCATGCACCTAAGAAGTCAGCCAGCTACCACAAGACCTGATATCAGCAGATGCTCTGTACTTCTCATTCAGTCATTTAGTTGGCAAATATTTATTAGCCATCTATACGAGATGTGCTGCACCAGGCACAGAGGATACAGAAAAAAAAAGAGACAAAGTCCAGGTACTCAAGGAACTTCTCATCACTTTGTCATTTTCTTGAATCAACATGCTCCACGATAGTATAAAGCCTTCCCTTTTCATATCTAGAACTCCTGTACTTCTGCCCAATCTTTATTTTACATCACAAGGCATGTTTGTACCGTTTTCATATTTATCAGTTCGTATTACTCTACATTATTGAATCCACTTAGAAATGGAGAGTTTAAAAGTAAGCACAATTTTTCTTAATGTGATTGAGCAAAACTCCTGCAACAGATCTTGAATCCTGATAAACTGGAGGTTGAAAAGATTCTGTCGTGTATTTATTTCAGTTACTGGCTAGTGGAAAACATGAGGTTTATTTTTAAATGAATAAAACATACATTTTAACCAACTATAAATATTGAAAAAACAAGGCTCCATTTCACTTATTGCTTATCAATAACTTAATGAAATAAAAAATTTGAAAAGCCATAAACAGAAGAGTCATATCAGGATGAATGTAAATGCCTTTTAGCAAAATATACCTCTAATATATCATATATATACGCTGATCGTGTTTTCATAAACGTATGTGATATATCAGTTCAATACGTGCAATACTGTATATAAAGCTATCAAGAGAAAGGTAGAAAAGCCAGGCAAATCATCTTTATGGGAATAAGATGTTATTTTCCCTGAATTTCATTCAGTATACCTAATTACATTTCAGTAAGAAAAAATATAGCATTTAATTTAAATAGGACTTACATGGTGAATGCTGATATGCATTGGAAATAATACGTAAAAAAAGTTTGTGTTACCATTTTTTAGGAATACACTTTTACATAAATATATATTCTCAAGTTGTTGATACTACCAGAATATGAATAAGAGTAAGAGTAAAAACAAGTGTCAATTTTCAATTTTATCATTTTATCCATGTCACTAAGAAGCAATAATATCTAATACAGGTGGGCATGGTCAAGGGATGTAAAGGCAGGTGGGTGAAGGTCTGATGAGGATCAGGATATTGGAATAAAATTCGAATTTCTCCCTGATAAAACACTAATCAAAATCCAAAGGAAAAAATAATGAGGAACTTTTCAGCTCACCAACTTGACCCGGTGAGCAAGGTTAATATCACCAGTGGTAGGACAGGTTGACATAGTGTGCCTCCAGATGTGGTATACTAAGAAGAATCATAATCATTTCTGTGGGTTCCTGACAAGATGAGTAACAAGTAAACACTGGACAGACCCAGGGTGAGGCCCTACAGAATGAGAGGCCTATACTTCTAAGACCATAGAGGATATCAGAGACAGGAAAAAACTGGAACTGCTCCAGATTGAAGATGCTGGTAAATGACAACCAAATGCAACATGTGTTCTTGGCTAGAATCCTGGGCCAAGAAGAAAGAGTTTAGATAGTTGGTGATGTTTGAATGGGGTCTGTAGATTAGATAATATTGTAATGTCAATGTTGATTCTTAACTGGAAGGTTATATGTTGGCTATATAAGATTGTCAATGTTTGATAAAATATACACTAGAGTATTTAAAGGTGATGAAGTGTCTTGTCAGTAAATGGCTCAGAGGAATAAGAGATGGAGGGTGATGAAGCAAATGAGCTATAAAAATATTTAGGGAGTTCGGGAATCTGTTATGGTGAAGTTCTTTGTAATATACTTGTAACTTTTCTGTAGGTTTGCAGCTATTTCAATTTTTTAAAATTAAAAGCAAACATTAAATTAGGAAAACTGATGCATACATGCTGCATATATGTGATGGAGCATAAGTTGATATCCTTATTATATAAAGCGTTCTTACAAATAAGCAAGAAAAATAGCAAGAGTCTCATTTAAATGAAAAATAATATTTAGAAACTATTCATCAATTCAGACACAAATAACTTACTAACAAATATATTTCCAAAATATTCAAATTCACTAATACTCAAAAATTAGTAAATTTTAAAAGTTATAGCTAGTTTTCAGATGTTATATCAGCAAAAAATTATTTTAAATATAATGCTCAATTCTTGAAAATGTGCATAGTTTAAGTGTGTAGTTAAAAGTTTAAGTGTGTAAGTATATAGTTTCATATTTAAGTCATTTGCAAAGCAAACATTTTTCTTGTAATTCACTCAAAACATGTAATATCTTACTTCACTTTTGGTGCTGCTCAGACTATTTCTACTGGCTGAATTAAATGGGTTTAAGCTGAAATATTCAATAATTGATATATTCTATGATGCATTCAGTATCCTCAAGAATGTGTCATCCCACAATCAAGTGTAATTTTTACAATACCTAGAGTTTTAAATAACCAAAGGTTAAAGTACAAAGGAAAGATGACAGCATGTCAATCACCTTCTTTCAAAATGCTCAGTGAATAAAAGTACTAAAAAAAGAGGCAAACATGAATGACTTTTATTCAGCTGTTATGAAACATATCAATACATCTTTCAACCACAAAAATATAAGACTTCTCTCCAGAATCAGTGGAAGTGGAGTGTACACAACAGCAAGAGAAATAAGATTTTTTAGGTAATGGAGATAACATAAACTCCACTGTCAATTAAGACACCAAAACAAGATTTCACATGGACTTTTTAAAAAGGTAGACACTTAATCGTAACTAAAGGAAATAGCAAAATAAGTTAAAAGTTGAATTCTATTTCCTGAATAGTAAACTGTAGAAAAAAATTATATTTTTAAATGAGCCCTTTGTAAAATTATTTTAAGCAACTGATCAAGGGCTTAAAGAGTATTTGTGAAGTTTCACATTGACATGAAAAGACAAAAAGAGATGTATTGTAATGCCAAAGAATTAAAATTTATTACAACAATCCTTCAACATTCATTGTGGAAAAGAACATTAAAATATCAGTGCATATGAATGTATGGTAGATTAAAAAAAGAGAATTAAATGAACTTTCATGGCACATCAAAAATTTTGTTATTATACTCTGAGTTGCATCCAAAGAATTCAACTCTGTCACTAGGGAAAAGAGAAAGCAATTTAAATCCTGTGGAAGATGCTACTTTTGATACAAAACAAAATCCATTTTTCTAGTAATACGTCAACTTAAACATCTTTTACAATTAGAAAATATAATAGAAAAGTAAATAACCCATCACAGTAGCAGTACAATACATAAGGTTCTTAGGAATTAAAATAACAAAATATGTATATACACTTTATGTAGTAATTTCAAAGAAGATAATAGAAGACATTAAAAAATGTAGAAAGAAACCATATTACTGGATTAGAAGACTGAGTAATATAAAAATGTTACTACATTAACCCATAAATGTGATGCAATTTCAATACATACCAATGAAATTTTTTTCATAAAACTTAAACTGATTCTAGTTATTCCCAAGAATGAAGTTTCAAATGCAGCAAAAATTTCTTAACAGGAAGAACAAAGAGACTTGAGCTTTAAGTATCAAATCTTATAAAACTATATTAATCAGGATATTGTAGTATCTCTGCAGAAATCAACAAATAGGTTAGTAGAACAGAAAACAGGGCCCAGAAACCGACCTCAGCATTGATGGAGATTTGAGGTGACATTACAAATCAGTGAGAAAACAGTGAGCTGTTGAAAAAATTGCACTGGGGCCACCAGCTTCATTGTGTTGGATATTGCACTGAATATCTACATCTAAGTAGATACCTTAGATACCTACATCTAAGTCCAACATGTCAATTTTTTTCTTAGGCAAGACTAAAGGGCATAAAAATAGAATATGTGTTTAATATAGTAAGGCAGATTAAGATGGAAATTTAAACACAGATGTATTATTATACCTTTCCAGACCCACAATTAAAAGATCAATAGGAAACTAATCAACAGTATTTGCATTTATGCCTATATGTAGTATTAATTGCAATACCAAATATTGTGCTGAGATAATCATTCCCTCACTAGAGTAACACAAACTCTCCAACACCCAAAGGAGAATGTTCAATAGCAAAAAGGATAGATATTTTTTCTTAAATGCAGTAATTGTCCAAAATTGTAGTAAATTTTGTTTCATTATATATAAGGGACCACAAATTTCTCATACAAGATTTTCTTTTTCTTGAATTTTTGAATTAGCCTTCTCTTTTTTTATATATAGGAAAAAAATTATTTCTTCACTATGTCATTAACATAATCCCACCCTTTAGAGACAGAAAGTATTGACTAGACTGCACATCATTTAAGAAAATTTAGTACATAAAAAAACCATAAAAACTTAAAGGCAAATTAAAAATATAGACGATAATGAATTAATATCCTTATTAAATGAAGCTCATTTATAAAAAATATGGAAAATTGACAATGCATATACATAGGCAATTTATAAAAGAAGATATATGCATGGCCAATAAGCATATGAAAAGGTATTCAACCTCATCAACAAAGTGTTACTTCTCACCTTCTGAATGGGCAAACTTTTTAATCATTGTTGAAGAAAGTAGTTAAGTAGGCACTCTGCTGATGAGAATGCAACATATTAAAATCTGTTATGAAATATGTATTTCATATACATAGTATGTAGAAAATTACACATACACATACATATTTCATAAATATTCACCTATATTTGGTGTGTGTAATTGTATACATATTAAAATCTATACTTGAATCTATATCTATATATCTAGCCAATATCATAAAATTTAGAAGTACATACACACAGTGCATATAGAAAATAGCCATACTGGTTGATTATAGTCAAGGTCCATTCTAATTTGTCACTTTCCTGCTTTGGTTGTTTAGTGCCCATGGCATACTGATTACTATACATTTTGAATATCACCCATGAATACAACAGTATACTACATTTCAGTAGTAATTTTTTGCATTTGCATTTTTAAATGCATACATTAAAAAACTACAATATGAAAATCATGTATGTAAGTTTATTACTGGTACAAAAATAGACTAATGAAACAGAAGAGACAGCTCAGAAATGATTTTAATATAAAATATAAGATTATATTTCAAATGAGGGAGGGGGAGAGATACAAAAATGGTGTTGGAATAATTAATTATCTGTTTGAAAAAATGTTTAGAGCCTCAATTCTTAAGTACACTAAAATAAGTTATAGATGGGTTCAAGACTAAGACAGGGAAACCATAAAAAAATTATATTTTTACAAAGCAAGACTACCTGATCTCAGGATAGGAAAAACCATTTCAAAAAAAGAAAAAAATCTACGAGGAAGATATTAAGTGAAATAACAACCAAATAATAAACACATATAAAGAAGCAACGTTTGAAATGCAAAAATCCTCTTAAAGAAAAAAATTAAGTGCTCAGCAAAGTCAGAGCCTCTAATGTCACTGCATTTAATTATAAGGCATCATTTACAAGAAAAAATACAAAATATTCCTGTCTAAAACATTATATTTAATAGGAATTTATACATTTGATGGATTTTGCTCTTTACACACACACACACACACACACACACGCATGCATGCAGAAAGAATTCTGGACCAATGACTCAAAAAAAAATATCCGTTCATTAACGACATCTCTATGAAACATGGTATTAGATAGTAAATCATCGAGATATGATAAGCTTCTGTCTTAAAGAAAATCAGGAAGAGCTATAGACTCCTAAAATTTAGACGTCAATGTTTTAAAAAATGGCAAAAGGGAAAATAATAAAGTCACAAATTTTTAGCAAAGCCAAAACAAGAAAGAACTAAAATTATAATCTCAAAAGTTTTTATTCCCAAGTGAAGAAAAGGTTAAAAAAGTTTTTAATCATTAGAAATATTTTTTAATGCTGAAAAGAAAAAAATAACTTTAAAAAAGTAGCAGACTGATCATTAAAAGTTACATGGGCCAATTATTTCCAATGAACAATTCACCTTTCCTGCCATTTATAAAGAAATGATATGGCAACACAGAAACGGGAAGTATGAGAAATTGCAAGCAGGAGCACCAAGTTGGTTTCCAAAACACAGTTTGCTTGCTCCTTAATGACAGTTGCTTACACAAAAACCAAAATTCCAGTACTCTGTCCATAGGGAGCGAAGAGAGTAGATGTGAAGGAGCTACAAGATGGATGACACAGAAGGGTCTTGCAATGGCCTAAGATATTTAGGGCCTGATAACTGGATATGGTCAGAATAGGATGGTTGCCTGGAAATATTCTTGGTCCTCTGCATCCCCATCTAGGAGGAAAATACCCAAAATGTGTAATGAAAGTGAATATGGGCTGGTTAGTCTATGGGCTGCGGCAGCAGCAGTCAACTGATTCATTCTTTGACCCTGCAGAAAGAGTGGACTGCTGACAGGAAGGGAAAAAAAATGCCTCGCTTCTTTAGTGTGAAACGGGGGATGTGTGCTCTATGGGATAACCTCTGTGTGTTAAAATGTGTATTTCTGTCCATCACATCACCTATATAAAAATTATGATGAGAAATTCCATTTGCTTGTTTTAATTTACTTTCTTTGATGAGCACCTGACCATGCCTACTTGGTAGTGATATATGTATGCTTGGCTACATTAGAATATATATTGTAACTTTCCTAATAATAAGGGAGGTATTAAAATACACAACAGAGATGTAATTTTGTGAGAGATAAATAATGATATAGAAACACTTCAAGAAAATAAAATCTAAGTAAAGTTTTTTAATTATGTAGAAATTGGAGTTTGAAATTTTAATTTATAAATCCTATTATCTTTAAAGTTATTTATTAAATAAAGTGCAAGCAGAAAGTAATGAGTTTAGTAGCTTTTATGTCAGTCTATTAATTTCTTCCATAATAAACAAAGTCATTTTTTAGTTCAGAACCATTAAGCCAAGCAAATATTGCCAGCAAGTTTAATTTTTACTTACTAATGTCAAGAAAGAAAAATGGCTTAATACATGACAAGCACTCACAAACATGAAGACACATTTTTTCAGCCTCATACATAAATACATTTTTACTCACCCAGAATGTATAATTAATATTAAGAGGATAGAAAAATCTCATTTATTTCACCTGAAGTTTATTAATACAGAAGATGATGACAAACTACAGGACAGTTTAATATTTATTTGCAAAGCTATTGCCACAAATTATCTCCATGTATGCTATCTGCAAAGCATTCAAAGTCAGAAGCATAAATAATGCCTGGATATCAGCAAAATTCCTAATAAACCCCTTGGAACAAATTTGTATATCTAAAGTCCAAGATTATTTTAAATAAAGAAGAAATATTATAAACCACAGAACAGAATCTAGGCAACTACACCAAATCACATGAAGGATAACATAAGGATTTTATTTATCCTGAAGAAACTGCAGTTTTGTAAAACATGGAAGAAGGAAACAGTTTCTTTGGAATTTTCAATAAATTTCTTTTATTTTTACTGATAAATATACTTTTGCTTTTCAACAATCCTTTATATTTTTCATATTTCTCTTCTGTTTCCTGTATAAATGGATAAATGAATCAATATGTTAAAAATATTTCTCTATTCTCTATTTACCTTTCGAAACACAATAGTCAGAAAACTATAATAATGAGAGAACTCCTTTAATCAGCCTGAGTGTCTTAACTCTTTCCAACAACTGCCATATATTACTGTCTGGTTTTTTTTAGGTTATGCTGCTGATGGTGAACATACTGAAATGACTGAAGAGCCAAAACTCTTTTTACACTGTGCTCACATGAAGTTTGTGGCTTAATTTTTAATATCAGCCTCTATTTAAGGAACACCATTTGAAACCAGCATCTCAGGTTGGGAGGCCAAATGAAGCTTTGTTCATGGCACACCAGGGCACTGCTGATGGAGTTCCCGGGAGTTTCATAATTATGCCACTTGGTTTGAAGCTATGTTTCAGTGCCAAGGTTTGACTGAAGCCCTCTTCTTAATTCTGCAACAGTGTGATCATCTGCCCTTCCTACTTTCTTCTTGCTTTTAGTTCACTTCAGATACCCTAGAATCCAGAGCATGCCCATTAATCCATATGTCCAAACCAAAAAAATTGTGTGATTAGATATCCAGCATTAACACCGTGGCTGAGATGTTGCCATATAGCTTATTACAGTTGTCATTATTCTCTAAGAACTTGACTTATAGCTGTTTCGAGGCAGTGGCTGCCAGTTAGTGAATTCCTCATGCTAGAGTTAAGGACATTTCAGGATGGATTAGGCACCCTGCATCAATATAGCAATTTGAACATTCTCCAAATCCTACCACTCTAGCTTGATGAAAACTTTGTGATGCCATTTATGATTCCTGATGTACTCATAATAACCTTTCTCTTCATCTTTTACTCATTTCTTCATCTACCAAATATTTATTTAGCATCTGTGTATGACATCATGACAGATGTAATAGAGTTTGCAAGTTTAATGCACAATCCTTGACAGCAGAAAACCTTAACATCTAATCAAAAATTATTGTCAACTATGTAAATATTTTACACAAACACACAAATTCACCTGAGAAAAGGATGAGAAAGCTGCATTCCACAGCATTAATGGGGTTATCGCTAAATGTCAGAATTATAGGCAGTGGTAAATGTTTAATAATTGGCTCTCTGTTCTCTAGAGACCCAATTCTAAGCTATTGGTTCATCTGCCCATTTGTATTGGAAAGAGAGTATTTAAAAAGTATGCAAAAATAAAGGTTCATTGAAAAAGCATATTTTTCAAAGCCCTGTTTTGTAGCATCTGCTGATTTCCATGGAATAATTACTCATACCATGGCCTATTTCAAGCTACTAATGTCAACCAGTTCACAAAATTTCAGCCCCTAAAGCCAGTAGGCAAGCCAGCTCCAGCAAACCACTGACTGGATGAGCTTCATTTTCTTCTTTATACATATTTTTTTGTTTTTGAATGCCTTAATGATAATAGTGGCTGCCGTCAGGGATAGAAACTGGGTCGCAGGGGACAGGAATGGAGTGCCTTTTACATTTTGAACCTTGGGATGTATTACCAATTTTTTAAGAAAGCTACAATTTAGATTTTTAAAAGTTAAATTATGTATTTGTTACAACTGTAATCAGAAGCAGTAAATGATATTTTAATGTCTCATGAAATTAACAAACATGTATACACATAAAATATTTAAATAACAATGAAATACATGCGGCCATAAAAAAGAATGAGTTCATGTCCTTTGCAGGGACATGGATGAAGCTGAAAGCCATTATTCTCAGCAAACTAACACAGCAAAAGAAAACCAAACACCGCATGTTCTCACTCATGAGTGAAAGCTGAACAATGAGAACACATGAACACAGGGAGGGAAACATCACACACTGGGCCTCGCAAGGGGTCAGGGGGAAGGGGAGGGAGAGCATTAGGACAAATACCTAGTGCTTGCAGGGCTTAAAACCTAGATGACAGGTTAACAGGTGCAGCAAACCACCATGGCACATGTATACCTATGTAACAAACCTACACGTTCTGCACATGTATCCCAGAACTAAAAGTAAAAAAAAAAAAAAAAAAAAAATTAAAGACATTATATGTTAGAATGCCAAAAAACTGGCACAAATTTTTTAAATACATTGGAAACTGATGTAGGAAGAAATTAATGTAAACTGGAAAGGTCAGTGAAAGCTTCCTGGAGATATAAGCGCAGTTCTGAAGTACGTGCCGGATTTGAACAAGCAGAGAAAAAGAAAAAGGGTGACACATAGATGCCGAGCAGATAGGTCACTGTGCCTGGCTAGTATTTATACTCCTATCGCTTTACTCCATTACCACGAGTGCTGAAGCTACCATTCCCACAGTCTCCATCAGTTCCTACCTTCTCCCTCTTTAATTAGGCTTCAGAGCAGGCTTCCCAATAAGCTAGGTGTTCACTGCAAATAGCCCATATGGAGATAACACTGGAGTCAGGAACAGACATAAGGAAGAGAGAGCCAGTCTCACATCACCTCTAATAATAATATTAATGTTCATTTCATGTTTATTCTATAGCAGAGACTTTGTAGTCTAACTCACAGAGTCTAAATTCACAGAGGGATAGCTCAAGCTCTTGCTCTTGCTCAAGATCTTGCTCTTGTGCTTTCTCCCAGGCAGGCAAGAACATGTGCTCAGAAGAAGCGTCACAATGCCACTGCCACCCCATCTTCCCCCCAAAAAAACCCAGAAAAATAAGCATCCTTCAGCAGGGCATGCAGAAGAGTTCTTACTATGGTGAACTAGAATGCACCCATTGAAGCGCTGGACCTACACCTAATCACTGTCAGTTGGAAGTGACTGAGTTACATTGAGAAAAGCAATTTACATGCAATGTGGTGTGAAGGACACAGTCTACTTACCAGGCCTTCATATAGAAGGCTCCACTGGCACATTGAGCAGGAAAACTTGGTTGTATATGACTGTCTTGCATATTACCAAGAAAGTGTCTCCAAAGGGGGCAGTGTTGCTTCAAAGACCTTCATACCTAGATGTATGTTATCAACATCACTGTGGATCTGCTTTTTCTGAAGTGACCAGCTACCATAAAGTCCCCTGAACTTGTTCTCTAAGGACACTTACTACCTTGACCACAAAAGGCCATATGAGAAATATGTGTATGGTTTCAGTGCCAAGAATGGTTGAATTATCCTAATTATTTAACAAGGTTTTTATCCTTTTGTTTGCTCTGATTTGTATATGTTTCATTTTATCTTGTCCTGTAGATATTTCTATAAGCCACCTTAAAATTTTTGTGAAAGAAAGCAGAAAATAATGAAATAAGTGTTTAGGCAATGATGAAACTAAATAGATGAGTGAGGAAAAGCAAGATAACTAAAGAAAGATAGCTTCAGCAAGAAGAACAGGAAAAAATCCAATACAAGCCATAACAGAAGGTCTGTTGAGATGATAGAAGGCAATATCACAGGGCATTAGTAAAAAGACTCAATAATAAAAAGTGGGTTTGGGTTCTGGCTCTGTCAGTAACTAGCTAAATGATGCTGAAAAAAAGGCAATAAAGAACCTAGTTTAATGATCTCCCATAGACACGGAGAGACCAGATAGCACAGAGGTTCAGCAGGTGGGCTCTATAATCACACTGATGGAAAAGCCTACTCCCATTTATTCCCATGGAACCTTTAAGAACTTATCTCTAAGGCTTGTTTTTCTTATCTTTGAAATGAAAATAAGAGTGCTGATCTTGTATGATTATGAGAGGTTTGTGAATTTTTATAGCTAGTATTTTCAAGCACTCTATATGGATTTACAGAGGGGGACAATTGAAGTACAGAACAATTAAGTAATTTGTACAAGGCCCCAAAAGCAATGAGTGGCAGAGCTATGACTGGAATATATGCTGTCCATCTCCAGGTCTACACTCTTAATCACTCTTGAATACTGATGATAAATGAACTAATCACATGTAATGCATGGAGCACAGTGCCTGGCACATGGTAAGCCTTTAATAACTGTTAGCTTACTCAGCAAATGAAAGTGCCTTACAAATCTAAATTATTTTCCACATCATAGAATGATATACTATATCTCAAATATGATATTTGTTCAATAATAACCTATCTAGATAATATCTACATAATTTATAATTTCCTAGATAAATTCATAGACATTGACAGAGATACAACCATAGACTGAATAAGTAAAACAAGAAATTTCAGAAATAATATAAATTTTAAAGGTATAACTAGAAAACCTAACAGCTGAGCACAAATACTTATGTATAAGAAATATTCATCATATTATTATTTATTAAAATTTACAAAGTAAATGAGTTGAATACCCAAAAGTAAGGGGTTGATTAAACAAAATATGGCGTATCAATACACATAGACAAAAGGACTGGATTAAAATACGACAGAACTTCAACATTAGTCTTTTAGTAACATGATTGTATCAATTTTCCTATTTCTTTCTGTCAGTTTTCCAAATTTTTTCTACAACGAAAACATACTTCTATAATCTAAAACAATAAATATTATTTTCAATTGAAATAAATACATTTAAAGCCCTGCCTATAACTTTAATAAATCTACCTCACAGGAAGAGTAAGAAAGGATTTGCCTGACAGCAAACCACCTGATGAAGGTCAGGTATTTCAGTTGCCCATATCTTTAAAATGTTTCAGTTGCTTAAAAAAACATTAAACTATTTTAAGAAGTATTAGGTGGAAAAAGTTTGCAGATTGCAAGAAGTCTGTGCTGGTCAGAGTGTGTACAGTTAAGGTGTTCGACCCTGGGAACCAATACAAACACTGACCATCTAGGACTCACAGTTGAGGGAAACAGACCCATTGAAATGCTGCCTGACAAGCCTCAGGAGGAGCAGATGGAGGGCCCTAGCACCAGTTAGCACAGAGACAGGAGCAGTAAGAAAGGAGGTAGCAGTGGCCATCATCTATGTAAGGGATGTCATCTGGAAGAAGGCTGGGTGAGTTCTATGTCTCTACAAACAGGGAAGTGGGAGAAAGTCACAGGGAAGCAAAATCTAATGTGCAAAATTAAGGCGAAATTTTCCTAGCATGTAGAGGTAATCAGAAATACAACAGGTTGTTCTGCAAATGAACAATCTTGCTTTATTACATGTGACTCTTGTTGCCTGAAAGCTCAATGGACATGGGCAGAGACACACTGCTATAAACAAGGAGCTCACTGGATCTCAACCACATGAAGACAAGGCCTCTCCCTGCAACCAAAAACAGACTGAAGGGAATAGCCCAGTGAACCCTTGAAGATGGGATTGCTCCCTTTCTTGCTCTTCCCAGTTACCAGGTGAGTGTTAGGATGGCACCCTCCCCTCAAAAACAGGCCAGAATCTGGGAGGAAAGAAACCCAAGTGAAGGGCCTGGGAAATTATCCTTTGGAGCTAAAGATGTAATTAAATGGGGCCTCAAGCCCCAAGAGCAAGCGAGATAGTATGTCCCTAGGAACCTTCCTCACTAAGTCAGCCTTGCTATATTTTGTTCTCCACATAGATTTTCTTACGTTTGCTCTTTAGTATTTAGTAAAGATGTGCAAAGTCCCAGACTGCCTCATCTGCGATAAGAGAAACCAAATAAAGAGATTTATACCCATGCTTGGACAGGATCATTAAAGTTTTTATATAGGTAAAGCATTTTATATGTATAAATTCTTTAATCCTCACAACAACTTATGAAGCAGTACTATTATCCTCAATTTACAGATGAGGAAATTGAGATACAGATCTTAGGTGACTTCCCCAATGTCCACAGATAGTAAGTGGTGGACCTTCCCAGAACTGTGGTTATTCTTTCCAGAAGGAATAATCTTAAACTATTTGGTATTACTTCATAGCAATTTATGTATATGTCAAGTATCATGAATGACTTTCTTCTTCTTCCTCCTTTCCCCCCATCCAGAGCTCCTAATCCTGTCTCACATATGACAAAGGCTGGAAGATAGTAGACACCATTTTTATACAATCCATGTCCAAGAAGACAGCTGTCACTGCTGCCAACTATGAGGTAAAAAAGGAAGTTGTCTGTCAATGATTACAATTATACGACTATTAAACTCTAAACCCAGACAATTTTACAAAGCATTAGAATATAATATTTTTGTGGATAACTATTCACAAATTAAGAAGTATGTTTGGCTTTAAAATTGAGAAATATACCTCTTGAGGAATTCAGTAATGAATAAATCTGTTTTAGGAATAGCAACTTCTTACTAACCTGAAAAGCAGCAGCTCCTTCTGCTTTTAGGCAATTACTTTCAATTACCTGTGTTTGTGATTTTTGTATAATGTAACAAAACCATTCTATCTTAAACCAATCTTTGTGTTGTTGTTGAGACGGAGTCTCGCTCTGTTACCCAGGCTGGAGTGTAATGGCATGATCTTGGCTCACTGCAACCTCCAACTCCTGGGTTCAATCAATTTTCTTGCCTCAGCCACTCGAGTAGCTGGGACTACAGGCGCGCGCCACCAAGCCCAGCTAATTTTTGTATTTTTAGAAGAGACAGGGTTTCACCATATTGGTCAGGCTGGTCTTGAACTCCTGACCTCGTGATTTGCCCACCTCGGCTTCCCAAATCATAAAGAGATATACAAGAGAAGAAAGCTTTTGTTTACTTCTCTTTAATATATTCATTTAACCACATATAATGAAAACACAGGAAACTCCAGCAACCACATTTACCTGTGATCCAAGTGGTGAATTGAGAGAATAACTCCTGAATTTAAGTGGGTCTGTTTTAGGGTCACCAAAATAGTAAATTCATGTTTATTTCTCAGCTTCTGAAAAAACTGTTCAGCTGTAGCAGTGGATGCTTTTATGCTTCTGGGAGTATCTAAAAAAGAAACAAACATATACTAAGAATAGTAGAATTTGATTTTATGAAGTATCTTTTACATGTAACATCTTTCAAAAAACTTTATCAAGTTTATCAGTAGCAGCTGATAAATACTGAGTTTCAGACTCTTGGTAAATTATTTTTCAAAAAGACTTTATGCTATATATAATAACACAGGACAATAAAATCACACATGAATTACTGAACTTAGGTTTCAGGAATCTTTTTTCAAAAATGTCACCTTTGAAGCAAAAAATCAAAAAACCTTACTTGGGGACGTATACTCCCAAGTTTTCTCTACACAATTCCTATATTCTAGATAACACAGCAACATCAGTGTCAACAATGAACAAAAAGATGTGCTTCCTAGAATAGGACCTAAACAACCACACTAGAACTATTTAGCTTTTCTGACACCTCATGACAGAAAACTGGATTTAAATCTATGTGCCACCCTCCACATTGGTTTCTTCAGCCAGAAGGTTTGCTATAAATAGATTTTTAAAAGATCATTTAAATTAGTCACTCTCAGCCTTCTGTGCAGTGGAAGAGGCATTAAGATCAAATTATCTCACCATAGATATTGAAAAAAAGAATACGTAGAACTTAATTCCCATTTCCTCCCCAGTCTTAGAGAAAGCCTAGCCAAGGGAAGTTTACTTAAGAGAGGCAAACTTTTATCCTGAACTTCCGCATGTTTTAGCCTTGTACTCCAACCTCAGGACCCAGATTATATGGGGAAACAGATAAGGATAGAAATGCACTTAGGTTTAAAAACCTATCATTCAAGCAATGTGCTAACTGAGCATAGGCTCTCCTATTCACAGTGTACGCAAAGAAGATTGACGAGAGATAGACATGTAGTTTGTATTGTGATCAAATTACTCTCCTCTTTCCTATGCTTGTCTAGATAAGTAGTTTTCAATGGAAGAACTGGCATTTAGAGAGGACAATCCTTCTTTGTGCAGGATTGTCTCATGCACTGTAAAACATTTAGCACTCCTGGGTCCCTGGCCAACAAATGTCAGTGGCACCCAATGCACAGGCTTTGCAACAACCCAAAGTACTCCCACACACTTCCAAACATTCCCAGGGAAGCAATGCAGCAGAAACTTAGTTGGGAATCACAACCTTGATGAAACAGAAATTATAAAATTAATCCAAATTCTCCACCTTTCTAGGCCCACGATTTTACATAATGCTAATGTAATCACCTGGTCTGAGTCCATTACTGAGAATACACAGACATGGAGAGCACACAGACCTTGAGACACTCGTATAATAGAAGAAGGGACACCTAATGTGATACAATGAAAGAAATGCTCTCAGAGAGGTAGGTACAAAGTGTTAATGGGTCAGGGGGGAAAGTAGCCAACAGAATCTGAAGGGAAGGCTCAATAAGTAGATGCAATTTGATCAGGAGTTTACCAGGTAGAGAAAAGAGGGAAAAGCATACCAGACATAGGAAAAGCTTGTGAAAAAGCAGAGATACGAAAGGGCATCACATAGTGCAGTGAGTGAACAGCAGACATTGCTGGATGGGGCTGGGGAACTGGATGAGGCAGGACCCTGCAGGCCAACTTAATGAGACACCTGCTGTTTCCATCACCATTATCAATTTACTCTCTTGGTTTAAAACAAAATAAAACAAACAAACAAACAAAAAACTCCCTATTTGCCACTGAGAAATGATCCCTCCCCACTCTCAACCCTTGACTTCCTCTCTGCTACAATTGGTCATGTGACACAGACCTGACCAATCCGGGCATCACCTATCCCTGTGCACAGTAATCAGATCAGGAACAGGCACCTAACCCAAGTTAACGAAGTCAGACTTGGGACAGTTGTTCAAAGTTTTACAAAAAAGAAACTCTCCTGTTGCCGAAAAGAAACTTCAACATTCCCATTCAACATTCATAACTCAAAAGCATAAGAGTAATCTGAAACTTTTGCCACAATCAATGCAATAGTTTCTCTCCAGGCTCTATTACAGATAAGACAGGCTGTGGAGGAGATTCCACAACATTCCTCTTAGCTCCAAAATTTTTTGTTTCCTCAAGGAAGCATGCAAAATCTAATTGAGAATGATTTCATCTAGTGTTAACTTTTAATTCATTCTAATTTATACAGAAGTGAATCATTCACAAACTACATTACTTCATTTTAATTTAATAGATAAAAGCAAACTGAAATTAAATTATAAATATTATGCTTCTCCTCTTTTCAGGCAGGTAGAACTTCAGCAGCATCCTTTGTCTTGCAGAGCAGGATGATAGATGGGGGTGCAAATGAGAGAAATGGAGAAAGGATTACAGTGAATACACAAATGATGCTCAGATCCGCAGAGAGGTTCAAGGATGTGGCCCAAAGAGATAGAGCTCTTACAGCAAGAGAAAAGGAATTTGGAAATGTGTGGCAGCTGCCTTACAAGATGAAACTTTAGAGATAAGATGCTCAAAGAAGATTCTTAGGCTGTTTTGTTGTTTGGTATACACAGAAGAACTTTATTAAATGTCTATATTATTCACTATTGCTTTTGGAGTTAGATTTGTGAACAGAGCTGAGAGGCTATATTTTGTTCACTTATTTTTTTTTTTTTATTTTTTTTTTTTTTGAGACGGAGTCTCGCTCTGTCGCCCAGGCCGGACTGCGGACTGCAGTGGCGCAATCTCGGCTCACTGCAAGCTCCGCTTCCCGGGTTCACGCCATTCTCCTGCCTCAGCCTCCCGAGTAGCTGGGACTACAGGCGCCCGCCACCGCGCCCAGCTAATTTTTTGTATTTTTAGTAGAGACGGGGTTTCACCTTGTTAGCCAGGATGGTCTCGATCTCCTGACCTCATGATCCACCCGCCTCGGCCTCCCAAAGTGCTGGGATTACAGGCGTGAGCCACCGCGCCCGGCCAGTTCACTTATTTTTTAATTTTGTTCTGTTTTCAGATGAAATGACAAGTAAAGATTGGCCTTAAGGTAAAAGAATGAAGAAACTAAAAGAACAGATCAGATTTGAATATTAGTAAAAATGTACATCACTATGGTTGAAAACATGGTGAAGGAAACTGTAGGTGAAGGGAAACTATCAAAAAAATTGATCAATCAGCGTTTTGAAAAAAATTTCTCTAGTGGCCATGTGGAATGGTTGCTTCAAGAAAGAAAAAAACTGGAAACAGACCGCTTGAGAAGTCTGGCAATTTGGTAATTATTAACTTATACAGGTTAGATTTCACATATTTTAAACATCCATCATATTTTGACATCCCTAAACTACCTTTCCCAAATCAAATTGACTTTCTTTGGCTTTGACTAGACTAGTAATAGTGATACTGCGCTATTAGTGTTTGCACTACTTGTCAGGCATGTTGATGAGGGAAGGTCCAAGGGAACTCTGAGTAGACGGATAATTTGTATTGGGGTGCTTAACGAAGTGCTTAAGGAGACCCACACAGCAGAACCATCCTCCACCCCACCAGGGTGGTAGATGGGGTGCTATGAGGACTCCATCCAGCTTAAACTTGAAGCTCATTCACTCATGCAGGGTCACAATTCAGGACAGGACCACTTACCCTATTCAACCTCTCCTCCCAGCCCATTGTCTTCCTGTTTTGCTACCTCTATGGGGATGGGATGGCTTGCAGGAAGGAGGGACCCTCCAGCATGAACAAAGCCAGCGGAAGCCCCATTCTGCTTATGCTACAGGGATAAGAACAATAATATTCTTTTTTTCTTTCATCCTGACTAAGTTCATTGCACAAATGTTTAAAAATGGGCTTGCATGAGCCTCCCACCTATAACGGAGAAAGAGACAGTGTGGAATGCCCATGGGAGAGAGAAAACCCAGCTTGATTTACCATAGCCTCAGGATGGTCTCCTCACCTGGTGCCCCAGCCCAGAAGCCCAGGACACAGATGAAGATTTTTAAGTTTCCTGAATGTGACACAGAGAGTACATAGAGGAAGTTTAAGTCATGATTGTATCACAGTTTTCGGTTCTCTGTCCACAGAACACCGTTTGCTTCCAACCCTTACCTCACCCTAAAATATTTAAACGTATTGTTCCCCCTTAAAAACATGTTTTCAAGAATTCATTATGTCCAAGTCCAGGAAGGACTTGATGAGGGCCTAAACTATGTAAGTGGCATCAGAATAAACAGGAGGGGTAGGATTCAGGATATACGTAAAAAGTAGAATCTAGGCCGGGCGCAGTGGCTCACGCCTGTAATCCCAGCACTTTGGGAGTCCGAAGCGGACAGATCACGAGGTCAGGAGATTGAGACCATCCTGGCTAACATGGTGAAACCCCGTCTCTACTAAAAGTACAAAAAAATTAGCCAGGCGTGGTGATGGGCGCCTGTAGCCCCAGCTACTCGGGAGGCTGAGGCAGGAGAATGGCGTGAACCCAGGAGGCGGAGCTTGCAGTGAGCCGAGATCGCGCCACTGCACTCCAGCCTGGGTGACAGAGCAAGACTCCGTCTCAAAAAAAAAAAAAAGAAAAAGAAAGTAGAACCTAAAGAACTTGGTCACTAATAAATCACAAGCAAAAGGTAAAAGAAAGGAGGCAAAAGGAATCCAGTTGACTCCAATGTTTCCAGCTGCAGAGACTTAATGAAAGGAAATGCAGTGGAAGCCTGATGGTACCCAAATGGGATTTCAGTTTTAGAAATAGTGATTTTAAAATGCCATATAACATACATGTGGACATGTCCAGTAGAATGCTAGCACTCCAGAATTTGATATGAGAGAGGTTAAAGTTGACAATATAGGTTTAGAAGTCACCAGACTGTGTTACCTAAAGTCATAGGCGTGCCTGAGTAAATCACAGGAGTCACAGGAATGAGAGGAGGATGGAGGGATGGACCACAGAAACACTAAGTCAGTAGCACAGCAGGGGCAGCATATATAAGCTTTATAAATACACACACACACACACACACACACGTATATATATTCTATAATGCTGCACATATGATACTATACAAATTTTATCCTGCAAAATTTTATAATAATATATTTTTCCCTTTTGAACTCATGTTCCATTTTGTTCTCACAAAGCCCTGGAGACTTGATAGCAGCAACAATTACTACTTCCTTTTTTAAAATAAGCAAAAACAGCCATGGAACATTTCCATGTTCACCCCAAAACACCAGCAGATAGAGGTATAATGGGGATGACAATTTCTGGGCCAGTATTCTTTCCACTAAATTGTACTGCTCCTGAACATGGCATCCTTTATCCATGCCTAATTGCCAGTCACAAACAAATGCAAATAAGAGAGCAACCAACACAGAAAATAATTCAGAAACAAGTAATTATATAAGATAACATTTTTAGTTCTTTAAGTAAGTAGGTGAGTAGTGATTTTAAGAAAGGTCATTTTACTCATTTGCATTTCTGTTTCCAAATTTGTAAAATTGGCATTCCTGCCTTATATTTTCATCTCAAGGATTACATAATGTTCAGAGACTCTGAGTTCCAATGATTATTATGATAAGACCTAATTCTGACATTGACCATTAAATCAAGTCAAAGAAACTACCACCCAATAATTAATTTTACTTTATTTCTATTATCATTAAAGTTTTCAGAATTAATTTTTTTTTTTTAGACAGAGTCTTGCTCTGTTGCCCAGGCTGGAGTGCAGTGATGCAATCTCGGCTCACTGCAACCTTCGCCTCCCAGGTTCAACTGATTCTCGTGCCTCAATCTCCCAAGTAGCTGGAACTACAAGTGTGCACCACCACGCCCGGCTGGTTTTATTTATTTATTTATTTATTTATTTATTTATTTATTTATTTATTTTGGTATTTTTTTAGTAGAGACAGTGGTTTCACCATGTTGGCCAGGCTGGTCTTGAACTTCTGGCTGCAAGTGATCTGCCCGCCTCGGCCTCCCAAATTTCTGGGATTACAGGCATGAGCCACCGCATCTGGCAAAAATTTTAATTTAGATATGCATTAAGCAATCTTTCAACAAGGAATCCTGCTAGGAATCCAATATAGAAAAATAAAGTGCAGTGGTTACAGGAACAAACTTTGAAGCCAGAAGCATGAGGTTCCAATTCCAACCATGCAGATTATTAGCTGTTCATAGCATGTAGTAAAGACCATGGGTTTATTATGAGGATTATAATGTTATTATTATTACTCTTACAAGCAATGAGGCTGTGGAATCCATGAAAACCAACAATGGCCATAACACCCTTGTGATTTTCTGAGCTTACTTTCATTCTAAGTATCCCAAACTCAGCCACAAAATATCAGTTTCCAAGTTTGAAAATTGATATACAAGTTTTGGCCATCAAATTCTTCTTAACATACAATCCTGCCTACCCTAGAAAACTACGAAAGATCATTCTTTTATGGACAAAAATCAATGTAAAGTGAGATTCTTTCTGAAGCAGGGACAAAGATCATTTGATTTGGTGCTCAGAGAAAGAGGCTGAGAAACAGGCCTTGAAATGCTACTAGTAAGCTCTATAGAGAAACTTATCGACATGCCTATGCTGCATGGGAGCTTTTTAATTGGAGAACTGCTTGAGTTTAAATGTAAAATGTATTTCAATGTTTTCCACTTTTATTGTGCATACAGCCTAAAAATCCCACTAAGAAAACAACCCACAGCAGTTTAAAGCAATTATTAATAAATAATGAAGTAGCTCAGAAGCAATTACATCAAAATATTCATTTTTAGTCATGGGACTACCAGAATGGAGTGATGAGTTCATATGTGGCTACAGTAAAAATTTCTAGGGATTTAGACAATGTGCTAGGTATTCCCTATATACATACATAGTTAACAAAGAAAGGCAGGGGGAGGAGGAGACAGAGAGAGAGAGAGAGAAAGAATCTGACTTACTTATTTCTAAAATAGACTGTACTTAATACAATTATGTATATGGTAGCAAACATGGGTGTTTACTGAAAAACAGAGTCAAGTTGGAATTCCTTTCTTCTTTTTTTGGTGGCCAAATTTCTCTTCTTAATGGGATATAATTGACAAATTAAAATTGTATATATTTAATGTGTACAATGTGATGTTTTGACATCTATATCTATGGTGAAATGATTACTACCATCAAGCTTTCTAACATATCCATCACCTCACATAGTTGGCATTTTTTTAATGTATGGTGAGAACATTTGAATTTCAAGTATACAATACAGTGTTAATAACTATAGTCACCACACACTGTACATTAGATTTCCAGAACTTATCATCTGCATAAATGAAACTTTGTACTCTTTCACTAATATCTCCCATTTTCCCCATCTCCTAGCCCTCAGCAATCACCATTTTACTCTCTGCTTCTATGAATTCAATGTTTTTAAATTCCACGTACAATGAGATCATGCGGTATTCATCTGTCTGTGCCTGCCTTATTTCACTGAGCAGTTTGTCCTCCAGTTTATCCATGTTGCTGCAAAAGATATGATTTATTTCTTTTTGTAAGGCTGAATGATATTCCTTTGTGTGTATATACCAATATTTCTTTATTCATTCATCCACTGGTGGACATTTAAATTATTTCCATAGCTTGGGTAGTGTCAATAATGCTGCTATGAACATGGGAGTACAAATATTCTTCAAGATACTGATCTCATTTCCTTTAGATATATACCCAGAAGTGAAATTCCTGGATCACATAGTAGTTCTATTTTTTATTTGATGAGAAACTTTATACTATTTTTCATAATGGCTGTACCAATTTACGTTCAAACCAACAGTGCACAAGGGTTCCCTTTTCTCCTCGTCCTTGCCAATACTTGTTATCATAGGTCTTTTTGATAATAGTCATTTTAACAGGTGTGAGGTGATATCTCAATTTTTTAAATTTGCATTTCCCTGATGATTAGTGATGTTGAGCATTTTTTCACATACATTTTGACTATCTGTATGACTTCTTTTGAGAAATGTTATTTAGGTTCTTTGCCCATTTTTTAATCAGGTTATTTGTTTTCTTGCTATTGAGTTGCACGAATTTCTTATATATTTTGGATATATTAGACAATGTGCTAGGTGGACATTGGACAATGGACCCCTTGGCAGATGTACTGTTTACAAATGTTTCTTCCATTCTGTACATTGTTTCTCCACTCTATTGATTGTTTCCATTTTAGTGCAGAAACTTTTTAGTTTGGTGCAATCTCATTTGCCTCTTTGCCTTTGTTGCCTGTGTTTTTGGGGTCATATACCAAAAATGTATGGCCTAGACCAATGTCAAGAAGTTTTCCCCTGTTTTCTTCTAGTAGTCTTACAGTTAAGTCTTTAATCCATTTGGAGTTGATGTCTGTATATGGTGTGAGATAAGGGTCTAATTTCATTCTTATGCATGTGGATATCCAGTTTTCCCAACACTATTTATTGAAGAGACTGTCCTTTCCCCCTCGTATGCTGTTGGCACTTTTGTTGAAAATCAATCGACTAGAAATGTATAGATTTATTTCTGGGCTATAACTATTCTGTTTCATTGGTCTACATGTCTGTTTTTATGCCAGTACCATGCTGTTTTCTACAGTTTTGTAGTGTTATTTATTTATTTATTTATTTATTTATTTATTTATTTATTTTTATTTTATTTACTTTTTTTTTTTTTTTGAGACAGAGTCTCACTCTGTCGCCCAGGCAGGAGTGCAACGGCATGATCTCGGCTAATCGCAAGCTCCGCCTCCCGGGTTCACGCCATTCTCCTGCCTCAGCCTCCCAAGTAGCTGGGACTACAGGCACCCGCCACAACGCCTGGCTGATTTTTTATACTTTTAGTAGAGGCGGGGTTTCACCATGTTAGCCAGGATGGTCTCAATCTCCTGACCTCGTGATCCACCCATCTCGGCCTCCCAAAATGCTGGGATTACAGGCGTGAGCCACCGTGCCCGGCCTGTAGTGTAATATACTAAAGTCAGGTAGTGTGATGCCTCCGGCTTTGTTATTTTTTGCTCAAGACTGCTTTGGCTATTTGGGGTCTTTTGTAATTTGATACAAATTTTAGGATTGTTTCTTCTATTTCTGTGGGAATATGTCATTGAAATTTTAATAGGAATTGCATTGAATCTGTACATAACTATGGGTAGTATGGATATTTAATAACATTAATTCTTCCAATCCATGAACACAGGATATCTTTCCATTTATTTGTGTCTTCTTCAATTTCTTTCATCAGTGTTTCATAGTTTTCATTGTAGAGGTCTTTCACCTCCTTGATTTAATTTACACCTACGTATTTTTATAGCTATTATAAATCATATTGTTTTATTCATTTCCTTTTTTTTTTTTTTTTTTTTTTTGAGACAGAGTCTTGCTCTGTCACCAGGCTGGAGTGCAGTGGTGCAATCTCATCTCACTGCAACCTCTGCTTCCCAGGTTCAAGAGATTCTCCTGCCTCAGCCTCCCCAATAGCTGGAGCTACAGGTGCGTGCCACCATGCCCAGCTAATTTTTGTATTTTTAGTAGAGACGAGTTTTCACCATGTTAGCAAAGATGGTCTCGATCTCTTGACCTCAGGTGATCCGACTGCCTCGGCCTCCCAAAGTGCTGGGATTACAGGCATGAGCCACCGCACCCAGCCTATTCATTTCTTTTTGAGATAGTTCATTGTTAGTGTAAGTAAACCCTTTAAATATTTTCTGTGTGTTAGGCCGGGCCCGGTGACTCATGCCTGTAATCCCAGCACTTTGGGAGGCCGAGGCGAGTGGATCACCTGAGGTCAGGATTTCGAGACCAGCCTCAACATGGAGAAACCCCGTCTTTACCAAAAATACAAAATTAGCCCAGCGTGGTGGTGCCTGCCTGTAATCCCAGCTACTCTGGAGGCTGAAGCAGGAGAATTGCTTGAACCTGGGAGGCGGAGGTTGCAGTGAGCCGAGATCGCGCCATTGCACTCCAGTCTGGGCAACAAGAGTGAAACTCCGTCAAAAAAAAATAAAAGAAAGAAAAAGAAAAGAAAATTTGTGTGTTAGTAGTAAAAGAGAAGGAATTTGTCCATCTTCCAATAACAAAAGAAATAGGTAAGCATCATTGTTTTCTTTTGAAATTAAAAAGTATCACTACAACTGCCATCATGAATTAAATGAGTTTCTGCCCACTGCAGTGTGTAGAAACCCCCATATAACCAGACTAATAAAAATACAATGTATAAATTCTATTATAAAAACTGTCTAATTTCAGACATAGAATGGTTGACTTAAAATATTTCAAAACTCATGAGATTATCATTTTTTTTCAGTACTTAACTATCAAATGTTATTGTCTTCTAAATTCAGGTTAGAAATATATTGAGTTAAAACTATTATGATAGTTACTCTCCATTGCTCTTACTCTTCCTTCAATATGCTCATGCTTTTATAATGCAAACTTATAAGACAAAATGGTAACAATTTTAAAAGCCATTAAAATTTGATTAACACTACTATATACAAAGTTTCCGAAGTCTTTAAAGGTGAACAATCTCATTTAAGCCTCATGACAATTTTGAATAAATAGGATTGTTAGCTCTATAATAATAGAAATTGCTGATGAGAAAAATGGAACCACAGAGAAGCCAAGACACTTGGGTCATCATCAAAAGTGGCTCAAAATCACAGGTCGTTTCTATGAACTTACAAAAGCAATTACAGCAGTATATAGGGATGAACCCACCAAATTCAAGTGGCAGAGCCAGGATCCTAACCCAGGCCAATGTGCTTCCTATTTTACACAACAGTGTCCTACCAACACTACAGTGATGCACACTCCAGGGGCGGATAAACCCTTATTTTAAATTAACCTTTATAAAAGTATATTCTGAAGATAAATAAATAAATTGCACTTGATCTTAGAATCATTAGGTGTTTCAAATATAGAAAATTATTTATATCATACAATCTCCTGTCATCTAGATACTGCAACATAAACTATAGAGAGTAAACTGCACTAAATTGCAAAACAGAAGGCTTTTTTAAAAGACAATTTTAAAATAATTCTGCTTTAAAAATTACTGAGTGAAACGTATGAGTTCCCCACAAACCCACAATTTTGTAACTTTTTTTAAAAAAATTATGTGGATCCAAGGTAGGTATATATATTTATGAGTTACATGAGATATTTTGATATAGGCATGCGATGATATTGAGGTAATCACATCAGGGTAAATGGGGTATCCATCACCTCAAGCACTTATCCTTTGTGTTATAAACAACCCCATTATACTCTTTTAGTTATTTTTAAATGTACAATTAAATTATTTTTTACTATAGTCACTCTGTTGTGCTAGCAAATTCTAGGTCTTCTGGTCTTCTTCTAACTGTTTTTTTTTTTTTTTTTGTACCCATTAAGCATCCCCAATTCCTTATCACTGGCCCCCACCCAACAATCCTTCCCAGCCTCTGGTAAGCATCCTTCTACTCTCTATCTCCATGAGTTCAATTATTTTAATTTTTAGCTCCCACAAATAAGTGAGAAGATGCAAAGTTTGTCTTTCTGTGCCTGACTTCTTTCACTTAACATAAACACCTCCAGTTCCACCCATGTTGCAAATAGCTGGATCTCATTCTTATGACTGAATGGTACTCATCGTGTGTAAGTACCATATTTTCATTATCTATCTGTTGGTGGACATTTTGGTTGCTTTCAAATCTTGGCTATTGTGACTAGTGCTGCAATAAATATGGGAGTGCAGCTATCTCTTTGATATACTGACTTCCTTTCTTTTGGGTATATACCTGGGAGTGGGATTGCTAGATGTTATAGTAGCTCTATTTTAGTTTTCTGAGGAACCTCCAAACCATTCTCCATAGTGGATGTACTAATTTGCATTCCCACTAACAGTATATGCGGGTTCCCTTTTCTCTACATTCTTTCTAGCATTTGTTATTGCCTGTCTTTTGGATAAAAGCCATTTTGACTGGGGTGAGATGGTATCTCATTGTAGTTTTGATTTGCAGTTCTCTGATGATCAATGATGTTGAGCACTTTTTCATATAGCTGTTTGCCATTTGTATGACTTCTTCTGAGAAATGTCTATTCAGATCTTTTGTCCATTTTTTTAAACCAAGTTATTAGATTGTTTTTCCTATAGAGTTGTTTGAGCTCCTTACGTATTCTGGTTATTATTCCCCTGTCAGATGGGTAGTTTGCAAATGTTTTCTCTCATTCTGCACCCAAACCCACATTTAATGATGCCACTTCCTCTCCCTTAACACATTTATATGCCCTTTACATTACTGGTTTAGGAGAGAACAAAAACATACTCTTAGAAAACCAACTTGGAAATTCCCCTTCTACCTTCTTACTCCAATTAAACCCCCAAACACCTTCAAAAATTTCTTTCGAATCTACAGCTAATTACAATTTGATTCAATGCATAATAAACATATACATTTCTTCATGTATCATTAACAAAATGTGTGTTGGCTTAATGTTGTGAATATTCAACCACATAAAAGTATACATACATTAATATAATCAGAAATCAGAAGTATAAGCATTAATCAACTAATCAAACAAAAAGAAATAGCAGGTTCTATTCCCAGAACCAACAACTGTAATGGTTGACCTTAAGCAAATCATTTGAAGTGCATGTTGGAATTTTCATTAATAAAAGTCAGGATATGGGGGTGGGGGCTACAAATAATATAATGTCTCTATGATTTGGAACTTAAAATTAAAGTATTAAGATTTATCTATAACAAATACAAGTTCTGAAGACTATTCTATTTCATTTGTTTTCATTCCATGCTAGCAAGCAAAATTCTGATAATAATTTGGCTTCTAGAGTGTATTTTCCTCCAGAGACAGTAGTAATGATCAACCACAATAAGTATTCTGATTTAGTTCACTGCTATAATTCTCATTTTAGATTAAAATTAAAATTGGCACTTGAGTTTATAATCAGATTAATACTTTTGGCTAGTGTGAAGCAGTCCCTCAGAACCTCATCAGCCAAGTTACCAGCTGTTTTGATGCCAGCAAAACTGAGTAGGTAAACCAGTCCAAATAGCCTTTCTCTTTATCATCTCTTCCTCTAACTGCAGTACTGCTCAAGAATAAGATCACATATTCAAAAAAGATCAAATAAGGCAGAAACATTAAGCAAATAAGAAGAATGATGATAAGTGATGTTGATGAAGATGAAGATGATGATGATGATGTCATTCACAACTTTAATAGCCTGACTGCCTTCCACTGTTGATCCCGACTCAATACCTATAAATAGCAGTCTCAACAAAATCCTTTTAACACATGTAGCAAATTTAAGAATCAGTAATTTGCTAGACTTTTATTTAAACCAATCCAAAATGTTATATCAAATTGAACCCAAACTGAATGCCTGCAATTTTTCAGCTAATATCATTAACCCATGTCTTAAATTCCCAAGAATCATTAAATTCATGAACATGAACCATCATAATTTATAGAATATGTATCTGCCTTGATGAAAGCTACTGAAACTTGAACAAATGAAATGTTTGAATTTCTTTAAAGAAAAGAAAAAACCTTGAGCTTTCACTGGTCTTATCTTTAAGAGTACATGAAAAGTTTCAACTGCACCTTCGTATACTGACACCAGTCATTACTGTATGAAGTAGTGCTTAAATTAACAAAGTATTCTCCTTAGCATTAAAGTTTATATATTTAATAATTAGGTAATTTTTCTCATTTTAAAATTACCCCATAGATAGTACCTGGTTATTTCTTAAACACACATATACTTAGCGTTTGCAAAGTGTTCATCTATTAAGATAGTAACCATTAAGTGCAAAAGAGAAATGTTTATAAGTTAAAGTTTCTAAAATGAAAGCTGAATCACAAGGCTTTCTTTTATTTTCTTTGAGATCTGATCAAATATTCATATAGTCCCTAATAGGAAAAAAATGTTCTTTCAAAAAACTGGTTATTATTCTAACCACGTATGTGTTACTGTTTTGACATGGCTCTAGTAAAATGATTAGCATAAAAAGAAGAAAACAAGATGAAGGTAAGATTTCTATTATATATCCTTAACATTTTATTCATACATATTAATTAGAAGGATTAAAAAATAATGACATATAAAATATTTTTACATCTATAAAATCTGAAAGTTATGAATAGTGCAACCTCAGACTCCACAAGCAGATTCTAACAGAATTGTTGCTGAATAGCCAAAGAGATAGTACATGGTGTCCCATCAATTATGCAGAGCTGAAGTACTGAAATGCACAATTTCATCTTCTACCTAATAGGCTAATTTGACCTGAAACATCAATTTGGGGAGTTTGTTCTGTTTTTATCCTTCTTTAATTATAATAATCAAATTATTTCAGAATAACAAGACACCAAAATATCAGTTATCATGATTAATCACCCTATCAAAATTGAGCTACATTTTTTTCTATGAGTATTTTCACTGCAAGAAAGAAAACAGCATTATAAAGTACCACAGGGCATGGGGCACATTGTAATCAACTTTTCAAACCAGAGTTTCAGACACCAGCCTTCATGTCAGTCCCTGTCCTTGTTTCCACAGGCCCCAAATCTGCCATCTCCCGGTTTCTGAGCCTGTTATGATCATGATGCCAGAAAATCACAAGTCTTGCTGCTCAGAGATTTTACAAAAAAAGAGCTCTGGGAATGTGTGCAGCCTCTAAAATAAATCATTTCCCAGCCCCATCATGTTGGCCCAGTCTACAAAGTTGAGCTTCTGCTTCAGTTTCCCAGCCTGGAACTCTACACTCTGCCCTGCACACCCATCTGCTTGGTTGAGGCTTTGATATTCTGTCAGGATCTTGCCAAATCTCATTCTCTCCCTCTCTCTCTGTTGTCCCTCAGGAATTCATGAATTTTGCTTTAAAAGTGTCAGAATTCTAGATCTATCACATGCTGCCTGCATGACTTTAATCTGTGGGGGGACTGGACTTGCCCCATTTACCACATTGGACACCACACCCAACTCCTGCTTATACTCACAACCCACCACCAGCCCCATCTTACCACCCTCTTGAAGTTTTTCCCACCATTGTGAGTTTTCTTTAAATTAAACTCACTATTTAAATACCAATATTACCCCTGTATAAAATACAGAAGATTCACTTACTGTCTAAACTAATCTCTGTACTTTACCTTACTGGGAGCTCTATAATCTCTAGCGCTAATTTAACCATTCCCAGGAGCCACACATCTGACCCCACCATGCTTGTGTCTTTCCCATTTCACGAACAGATTACTCCCTAAGTGACCATTCCTAGACTAAGTATTGCTTCCAGTTTTCTGCTCACTTTAATGAGTTCAACAAATATATACTGAGTATATAGTAAATATTCAGTATATATTACATAATGATCATGTTGAGAATTCTGCAATGAAGATCAGGAATAATCCAGTACCATGAACTGTTTACCTCTCTGTGGCAGATTGCTAACTGTCCTCCAATAGCAATAACTCTCTTCCTCTTCTAAGTCATAAAACTCTCTACTTTTATCAGGGCACACATGGTTTCCCAGATAGAAACTTCATTCCCCTATATCCTTTTCAGCTAAAGTGAACAGGTGATGTAAATCCTCGCCACTGGGATGTGAGCAGAAGTGACAGGCGTTATGATCCATATTTTATTATTAAAAAGGAACTGATTGTCCCCACTCTTCTTTTCTTTCAGACTGGAATGTCCTCCATGAGGAAAATGGCAGTGTGGAGTTAGAAGACAGACAAAAACTGTGTCCGTGAGTAATTTCAGGTGGCAGGACTGTGCATCAGCCCGGAACCACCTGCCTGCCTCTAGATTGTTATATAAAAAAGAAATAATCTTCTTTCTTATTTGAGCACTGCATTTTGGGTCTCTTTGTTACAGGAACTTAGCCTATTCCCTAAGTAATCCATCTCCCCAAGCTTCCTATGACTCGTTCAAATGTTCCCCGTGGGTCTCATTCTGTAAAATGAGGATAAGAATTTTTTTCTGTATAAAAACAGAGAGTAAAAATTTTAGTCTTTTCAGGCCACATACACCTCTATTCCATATTGCTTTTTTTCTTTTCTACAAGCATTTAAAAATGTAAAAACCAGTCTTAGCTCAAGGGGCCATATAAGAATGAGCCCCAAAATTGGCCTTTGGGGCCACAGTTTTAACCAACCCCTGGAATCAACAGATATGGATATAATTTCCCAAAGATAAAAAGAAATTCTTTATGTCTTTAGTTGATTATGTCTAGAATGGAAGACCAAAACAATGTGATAAGAGGCTTAGTTAAAGCAAGTACTAGATGTCATGAAAGTGGAAAAGACAGGAAGTGAAAATGCCTATTAACTAGTTTTCATCACTGGTGTTGATATGCATATTTTGGTGTGCATCCTTTCTTCTCTCATTGTGTGATATGCTTTCCAGGTGTAGGGATCAATTCTGTAATTCTCCTTTTTAGCACAGTGATCTGCATGCAGAAAACAATCAATAAGTATAGCTGACCGTCTTGTTCATTCATGACTTTGCCACCTACTTCCACGCCTTTTCATAACAAAGAGCATATTGTCTGCCCAAGTAACTAAGTAAAAGTTACAGATTCGTTTTGTCCTCAACATTTCTTGGCATTGCCACCTATTTTAATATTATGATTTAAAGGTAGAGTAGATAACAACCACAATGAACAAAACTAGAACACATACAAAAACATTTAAAATAGTGCTTTATATTGTTACATATTAAGACCAAAAGACTCTCCTTTCCCTTTGGAAATTATGAACTGGCAGGTCTGCATGAGGACTGTAGCTCTATGAAAAGAACTTAGTCCTTTCTAGCATTCTAAGATTAACATCTCCCTAGAAAAAGGAATAACGGAGGACCTAAATTTCTGACAGGTACAATGGTAATAGTGTGGTTTGAGTATTTTCTTAGCAATGTTATAAATTTCTAGATTATCAGAGAAAATAATTACTAACTGAATGCCCAGAAACACCTTCCAGAGCTAAATGTAAGCTTCACACTTACTTTTTCCCAATTCCACCACCAGTTTTGGGGGTAGTTGTGAGTTGGCCTACACAGAACGTTCAGAACACTTAACAAATAAATGTTTTGCTTTTTGTTTTCTTTTGTTGTATAACATTCCTTTTTTAAAATTCAAGCAAAACCTGGGTGTTCTACAAAGTGGTCTATAGAAAATTTCTTCACTATATTTTATGCTTTAAAACAGAGGAGAACTGGGCATCAAAATCATACAGGAATTATACTGCAATAAAAATTTGACATCTCATATCCCATCTTCTTGACAGTTCTCTCCCTTTCATGATAGTCCACAGCTCTGATAGCTTTACTACACATTTTCATTATTTTTCAGTGTACTACTTTGTGCTGCCTTATAGTTTTCTCTGTTTCTTGCCTAATTGCTTTATATGCCAGTCTTACATCCTCAGAAAGACTGATTTTAATCTCCTTAAGGACAAAACTGTGTACTATACCTCTCTTCTACCCCAATAACTACCAGCAATTATAGCCCAAGACAGAGAGAAGGGTTCAATAAAAATTTGTTGAATGAAATTCAATGAATTTTCTTTTCCAAGGCTTGGAAGACAAAACAATGTGCCTATCTTGCTGTGTAAGAATAAGTTACTCCCCTTCCCTCCTAATTCTCCACTGAAGCAAGGTTTACAACCTTGGACTCGCGGTACAGCTCTAGGTAATACCTGATAATCTCACACACAGACACAATTTATGCTGTACAAAGGTTTATGGGAGGTCCTGGGAGGCACAGTCCATACTAATTACCAGGTCGGTCCAACTATCTCATTAGTCCAGGCTAGGAAAGTTGTTAGGATTTAAAATCCTATTGAAACGAAAGTATCGGAGTGGAGTTTAAAACAAGCTGCTTTCTTCCATCCCAGCATTTCCAATCTGAATGCTAGTCTAAGTTACGTATTTCTTCCCCTTTGGTTTATATTTCACTTCCATAAAATTTTCTTTCTGGCATTTGGATGATAATATGGGCATTTCCACCTCAATACCACACTTAGATAGATGTATTTCTGAATTACATACAGATATGTAAAAGATACAATAATTTCCATTTCTAATTTAGGAAATTAGGCCCAAACATCAATAATATATTTCCTATTTAAACACTAACATCCAATGACTCATTCACATACTCCCTCATTTTCATTCCTTCTCTCTCATATCTGTACAATCTCATTCACTAAACACATACTCTAATTTTGTTTTTCTCACAATTTCTTATTTGTAGCATTTATGTCACTCTTTTCTCTTGTTTCATAAAATATAAATATAGTAAAGATATAAATACAATTATAAAAATGTGTATATATACATTTCTAGTTATATTTGCATGTATACCTACACAGACACACGCATTCTTTTTTTTTTTTTTTTTGTCTCTTTAAAAGGTTTATTGATCATGTACAAAATAAAGAAAACCTTATATATCACAAACATACGCTATGTACAGCAACAAATACCCAGGGGGCCAGGCCCAGTGCTGCCCCTCCTGGACAACAATTTAGCAATAAATACTGCGCAGGGCAGGGGTGGGGCACTAAGGCCACTGCCCTGCAAGAGGTCAGGCCCCTGCCTGCCCTACTCGAAGTGTGAGCGCTCGGGCCTCACCCCGCATCCAAACCCCAGCCCCTCCTCACTTAGACCTTTAATAACCTCCATCCCACCCCAGCAGATCCCGGGGTCTTCTCCCACACACACAACCTCCCCTGGCTAGACCCAGTCAGGGCAGGCAGGGACTGATCAACTCTGCTTGGACCCACCTCTCAGCGCCAGGAGAGCAACAGGGCTGGACACGCGGGCAGTCCTTGTCGTGTTGCCAGGAGAAGGCTTTCTGTGCCCACTCCCGTTTGGTTAAAGGCTTCAGGGACTAGCAGATTGAGGGGGTGGGAAGAAGGGCAGGGCTGGGACACAAGGTTGCTGGAGGGGCCAAAGCCCAATTGGGGTCACCAAGAACAGGGAGGTCTCACAGTTTATCGGGGACACACTCTAGCTCAGACTCAAGGGACACCCATGGTATCAAAGCTGCTGCTCCAGGGGCAGGGTGGAAATGGGTGGGACTGGCCCGGCAGGTACCGTACACACCCAGGACACAGGCCAGAGGCAGGACAGTCATTAGTCTCTCAGACACGCCCTGCCTCTGTGTGGTACTGATTATGTACTCCACTCGCCCGACGTGCTCCAAGGCCAGACAGCCAACAGGAAGGCAGAAATACACCAAAAAGAATTATTCAGTGGCTTCTGGGGGGAAAAATCATTAATGTGTTGGTTCCTTTCACCAAACCACAGCCTAAAAAAGTAACTCACAAGATCCCAGAGCAGAAACGGTGCAGCAGGCTGCGGCTCAGACTTTCCAGATGTGGATGGGAGCTTTGGCCAAGTGTCCACTCCAGAGAGAGGCAGCAGGGACATGGGACCTGACCATCGTCCCAAAGCAGGCTGCAGCCGCTCAGGGCCAACACACGCATTCTTACTCTGGTCAATCTACAACTCATAAATGTGGCTGTGTTCTAAAACATCACTGGTTGATCTATTTTTAGGATCTTGTCCTAATGTTTACACAGAGGCAGTATTGTATATAATGGTTAGGTCCTCTGAAGATTCAATTTACTGGATCATGCTGTGACTGATTTCAATTCAGTACATCCTGGTTTCACTAATCCAACAGGGTAAACTTGGCAACACCTGACACTTTGGTGGGCAGAGGAGAAATGCGGAAGCCAAGATGAGACAGAGGGATGCAAGCTGTAAGCTAGATACTGACAAAGGAAGCCAGACATTCAGTGTCTAACAGTGAAAGAAGTAAATGTGAACTCAGACCTGCTCAAGCTGAAAAATCCAGGCAGAGGAAGAATATGTACAAAGCATGCAGGAACAACGAAGTATGGCATATTCATCAACCTACCAGTATTTTATACACTGCTAGGGCATAAGGTATGTGGGAGAAAGGGAGAGGGGGGTGGAAGGAGTCTAGACAGGTGGTTAGGAACAGATCATAGTTCTGTGATCAGCCTTTTCAGAGAGACACTGTGTTACTCAGAGAATTGCAAGGCTGAGAGGAAACTAAAGCAGAAGAACTGGGCCAACAGATTGGAACACACAGAAAAGCTATGACTCAGTCAGCATGTAACAGCACGGGGCTTTTCTTAGGAACACCAGGAACCAGTCATTAGCACAGTGAATTCCAATTCTATTCCCACACTAGGCGGGTGAGATCCCAATCTATTCTCTGTCCTTGTCAGAACTGGCTCCGGAACTGGGAATTGTTGGCACACAGTTACCCAAGCCTAGAACTGCTGACATAGGCCACCATTTATAGCTTGGCCTCCAGGTGAAACCACACTCAAACTTCCCACGTAGAACCCCAAGAATGTTTCCTCAGTAAAAAGCACCTGCAAAAGAAATAGAGACTTTCCCTCCCTGGGCCATATTAGGCTATATAAGCAAGAACAGGAACCTGAAATTCTGAAGGAATAAAGGGAGGAGGCTACAGAAGAAACTCAGGGATCCCAGCCCTGATAGAGAAAAACTAGGATTTCCATAGTCAGAGGAAGGAAGAGAGAAAGTCCTAAGGCAAAGAAAAATCTCTAACTGGAGAGCCATTGGCATGAATGAAACTTCCTCAAATTCAAAGTATGCTTGGAGAGATTAGCAATATCTGCTCATAGAACAGAGTGAGGGGTCTACAATGCCGAAGTTTAGATGAGTGTTTTGGGAAATATGGGATTAATTATGTTCTTTTGAAATATAACTATAGATTCTTCTAGGTCTAGAAGAGAGATTTTTAAAAAGAGATGAAGAAGGAGCATTGTATTTTGAGAGGAGGCGGGCATAGAGAGCATGAGGTAGCCCTAACAGTGATAGATGCTGCTGTCCCTAGGAAGCAGACGTCACCTCACAGCGACCACTACCGTCATAAACAGCAAGATCCTCAAGGTTAGGGGCCAGGCCTATTTGGCATCCACTGGATGCTTAATATCTAGGAGAGTGCCTGGCACATAGTGAGCATTTTATCAATACTTGTTGAATGAATAACAAGAGCTACTATTTACTGACTGCTTACTATGTGAGGCACTTTCCTAAGTGCCTTTTTTGAATTCACTATGTTGGTACTATTAGTGTCCTTATTTTGCAGAAAGAGTAAGTTATTTGTTCTAGGTCAGAGTTTCTCAATCTCTGCAATATTCACATATTGGACCACATTATTCTTTGTTGTGGGGAGCTTCTGTGTATATCACGTGATGTTTAGCAGCACCTATGTCCTCCAGGGGAACCTCATCCCTAATCGTGGCAATCTAAAATGTCTCCAGACAATGCCAAACATTCCCTGGGGGACAAAACTGCCGGCAGGTTGAGAACCACTGATTAGGTTTTCCGCTGATAAGTGGTAGAACTAGGACTTGAGCCCAGGTAGTCTACTCCAGAGACTTTGCTCTTAACCTCTACACTACAATGGCCAGATGAGCGTATGACAGGTAGCACTTAGTTACTGCTTACTATGAGCCAGGCACAATGCTGCATGCTTTCTGTATAATCTCATCTGATTATCACCATAGCTGTAGATCTCAATAGCTACCTTTGAAACCAAACACTATAGAAGAATTCAAAGAAAGTTTTTTTTTTTTCTTAAGTTGATTCATATCTGCCAGATCCTTTTCCAAATACTTTTGCAGGACTCAGAACTACATTTGGTTTTCTGATTGCTAAGGCCTTGACTTTTCTATCCCATTTTTGGTAAAAGCAATGTACCTTACTGAATTAAAAAATAGCTTTAATTTCTACATTAAATCAATTCTGATTTTTATGTGGCATTAAAGACTTACACTGTGCCAGTTTTATTATAATACCCTAAAATCATCTTAAAGTAGAAGTACAAATCGCCGCAGAATAGTTTCTAAAGATGTGAACTATGGCCTTTGTGAAACCTGCACGGGGGAATCCTTGATTGTAATGTTGCCAAAGCACTTCATGGAAGAATGGACTCTAATAACAACATCAGCAAACCACAATCCATAGAGTTTACCTTTCTCACTTTTAAAATTTATCTAGAAACTGAAGTCTAGGGGGTTTAATTTCAAATCCTAGCTGTCTCTTAGTATTTAGAAGATGCATCATGAAAATATCCATTATTAAAGGTAATAAACCCCAATGAGAAATATGGTAACAAAATTTGGTACCATGGTGTTCCCCAGTGCACAAAAAGGTGTCTGAAATTATGTCAACAGAGGATGCTTTGAAAGGTAAGAATGTCAATATGAATTACTTAGGTAATGTACAAATTGTATCAGTCCCTTGCCACACAAATTACCTACATTTGAAATCATCATTTCTTAATAATTGTGTACATTCTAGAGTCAGTGTATACTACATTTTGATGCCAGTTCCATCATTTTCTAGTTTAAACAAGTTATTTAACCTCACTGGGCCCTGGTTACTTTGGTTCCCATCTGTAAAATGGGAACAATAATAATAGTACACAGGTTCATGGTCAGGACTAATATATATAAACCACCTAGAACAGTGCTTGAAACATAATAAATGCTGGATTAACATATCTCTCACACATGTATAGAAGCACACACACATTTTGATAATTTGTATTCAAATTGGTGTATTATTACAATGTGGATAAATAGCCCAGCCCTCAATGCCAGATAACCAGACATGTCTACAGCTCTTCTAGCAGAACTAGAATACTGACATTTTTATTATATTATGAGTACAGAAAAGTCATGGGAAGTGTAGAACACTTCTTTAAGATAAATGGATATAAACAGTCATTTCAATATGCAGACCATCAGCTTTTAATAGCCACAACTGTAAGTGAGTTCATCAGCTAAGTGAGAATACATTGAACTACAACATTTTCTTCTGCTGGTCTAGAAGCCTAGCTTCAGCATCTGAGAAGGAGGAGGACCTGATAACTGCAAGATGGCAATTTACATGGTGTAATGAGGGGGTTTAATTTTGTGCAACTCCCACACCTCCCCGCGCACGCTTCAATCTGTGCCACACGTGTGAATTTATATTACACCATTCCTGTTCTCATATGATCTTTAAAATTCTATCATTCCTGTATACTATCTGTGAAAGACTGTTATGTGCCATTGTACTAATTATGCTTCTACAGAATATTTATGTGACCCCTGGTAACCTTGGCAACCGCAAAGAAAAATTATAAAGAAAATTAAGGCATTATAGTCATTATCAGGAAAATCAGTCTATATTTATATCTTCATGCTGCTTAAAATAATGGCGATAAATAAAAACAAGACTATATTGGAAGAAACAAAAATGACCTGTATATACTAATGATATACAATAGAACACATTAAAAAAGAATTATTTGTAACAATGACCCAGATCAATGGTTTAAACATCCATAAGATTTATCTTCATTAATATTAATTAAGAATATGAGCATTTGTGTATAAAGCCAGGAAAATTTTGCACTATCCTAAGAATAACAAAAATGCTTTCCAAAAAGGGCTCTCAGTTTTATGCAGAAATACTAATATGAAATGTGATGTCATTATCTAATTCCAATATTTTTTGTCTTTTAGAATTTTTTTTCTAATTTCTGAAACAACTTAGTGAAGTGTTCGCTTGAGGGCTATCATTCCTTCAAGTTTGCCGTCAAGGCGATGATCATAAAGTTTTTGTAATGAGTCCACTGAAAAAGACCATAAGAATGCTGTTCTTCACACCCATGATAACACTATTTTCTGCCATCTGGGAACACAGCTTTGGATTGTTTTTCTATCAGTTGGGCTTAGTTACACTGCTTTGCCCAGGCTTTCTCAGTTCTTCCCATGACCAATGTCACAACTTGCCAGACACATGCCTCAGGTCAGGTTTTCATTCTGATTCTCAGAATTCATTGTTATCTAATTGTTACTACCCTTTCAACCTCATCCCGGGCCACTCTCCCACATGTGTGCTGCATTCTACCTACACCAAACCACTCGCAAGCCTCCAAATGCATCAAGTTCTTGAACTCCCCATATTTTTGCAGATGCTGTGCTTTTGCCTGCAATGTCCTCCCTTATCTCATTGGCCTGTCAAAACCTAAATGCTTTCCAAGTTCCAGCTCAGTCAAACACCTTGCTTGATTGAGGAGGCAGTCCTAAAGACCCCAACAAGTTGATAGAGTTGGTGATTTATTCCTCAGAGTGTCAGTATATTGAGAGCTGTCTCTACAAGTTTAATGTATTGCAAGTTATTTACTCGATTTCATGTCAATCTCTCTCACTATATTTTCTCACTTTCCCTTTCTAAAGGGCCACTATAACCAAAAAGTTAAATTCCACACTGGCTGAGAGGAGGTACAAAATGCATATGTGTTGCTTTGAAGTTTATTTGTACTTTCCCAAGCAAGGCTCTTTTTTCCTTTCAAAAAAAATTACAAAAAATTAGCCAGGCGTGGTGGTGGGCGCCTGTAGTGCCAGCTACTCGGGAGGCTGAGGCAGGAGAATGGTGAGAACCCGGGAGGCGGAGCTTGCAGTGAGCAGAGATGCGCCACTGCACTCCAGCCTGGGCGACAGAGCGAGACTCCGTCTCAAAAAAAAAAAAAAGCCATAATATATGCTGTATTGATTGGTTCTTAACAAACCCAGAGTAAGCAAAGAAACATAGGCATTTCCTAACCACAGAAATTTCAACCATTTTTGGCTATATATCTATAGCTTAAAACAAATTGTATTATGAGTAAATCAAAAGTGCTACAGGACATGTTGCAATTCATTTTCTTTCTTTTTTTCCTAAGGTAGAAATAGGTCAAATACATGGAGAAGTGATGTCTTTTAAAATGCTGAAAATGTTTTCCTATGGTAGTTGTTTATGTGTGTAAATTTGAGGCGATAACAAGTAGTTTTGTAGAACACTGTGGCAGATAGACCCTTATATTTGGTATTTTTAATATTCTGGAAATAGTGTTCTTTGTTGCCTGGCATAATGACCTACTGAGGAAAACTATAATAATTTTATAAAAATTCAACAGTTTAAAACTCAGTAGACTGATGCACACCTTGTACACTCGGCAATATCTCAGAAACCTTTTAGTTAAAAGTACAATAGATAGAAAAGAACAGAAATTGGCAGGCTATGTAGTATGGCATTTCAAAATTGCTTCGACCTCCCTGATTATCAGAAGCAATTGAGCTTCTTTAAGTGTACCCCATGGTCCTTTTCACATGCCTTACTTCTAAATCACATAATCAACTTTCTATAGATTAAATCCTTAAATATCACATGCTTTCAAGAATCTAACTAACTGGCAATCCTATTTACATATTTCCTCACAAAGGGACAGCATAGGCTCCCTGTCCCAGACATAATGAATTAATGGCTATCAGACTTACCTTCCACTATATGAAACTATAAAGCTATGCAAGATATGGAAAGTAACTATTTTTAGGCATTGGGAAACAATCACATAGCTATGATCCTTGAAAGAACTCTGGCTTTCTACCTAGGGACACTTTTCAAACTAGAAGCCACAGAGAAGCAGAAGAAAAATGTGTAGACGAAGAGCTCTAGGAATCTTGCATAGGGTTCCCCAAGAACTCTATAAATTTCTCAAATGTGGCCAATGGCTAAGGTGTATATGTGTAGTGCAAGACTCTACTTGACTGGCAGTAAACATCTCCTGGGCTATAAGCTGAACAGAGATTCCAGGGCTCACACAGTGCTGGGAGACACTGGATTACGACCATCCAGAGTGGAGCAATCTCTCTGAACACCCAGAGAATTCACTCCCAGAAAGATCATGCCTTAGGAGTGGAGTTGCTCTAGCTCCTCTAGCCACCTTAACACATCCTAAACCAAGCCTGAAGAGAATAAGGATAATCTTCCAGTAAAATGGCTGCCTGACAGAAAATAAAAAAGAAAAAGAAAACAGTATTCTTCAAAGGAAGATAACAAAATTAAATAGAATGCAAAGGGCTTACAATAGCCAAAACAACTTTGAAAGTGATTAATGAAAGGAAAGAAGAAAGCAAGTAAGGACGGAAGGGAGGGAGGGAGGGAGGGAGGGAGGAAGGAAGGAAGGAAGGAAGGAAGGAAAGGGAAAGAAGGAAGAGACGAAAGGGAAGGGAAGAAGGAAGTAAGGGAAGTTGAAGGCCTTACACTACCTGATTTCAAGATTTATTATAAGTTCATAATAACCAGGATAGTGTGGTATTGGAATAGCTTAGAGAGTCTAGGAACAGAGACATATTTACGTGTTCAATAGATTTTGACAAACTACCAAATAAATTCAATGGGGAAAGGACATTGTTTTCAATAAACCATACTGGAACAACTGGATATACATATAGAAAAAAATCATCCTTGGATTTCATCTCATACCACAAAAACAAAAATCAATTCAAAATGTATTATAAATCTCAATATAAAAGGTAGAATCGAAAAACTTCTAGAAGAAAGCACAGGAGAATATCTCTGAGAACTTGGTATAGCCAAAGATTTGTTAGAGCACAGAAAGAAGCAGCTACAAAATTAAAAATAGATAAACTGTATTTCATCAAAATGGAAAACTTCTCTTCATCAAAAGACTTCATTAAGAAAATAAATAAGTGTTCTGGGTTAAACTGTGTCCCCCCAAAAATTCATGCCCACTGGAACTTCAGAATGTGACCTTATTTGCAATTAACAAGATGAGATCATACTGGATTAGGGTGGGCCCTAAATTCAATGACTTTTTTTTTTTCAAGAAGGCCATATGAACAAACAGACACACAGAGACAGACACGCACACAGAGGGAAGAGGCCCACGTGCAGATGGAGGCAAGAATTGAGATGATGCAGTTATAAACCAAGGAGTGCCAAGAATTACCAGGAGCCAGCAGAAGCTAGGAAGAGGCAAGAAAGGACTCCTCAGAGGAAGCCTTGCAAACACCTTGATTTCATACTTCTGGCCTTGCGTGAGAGAATAAATTTCTGTTGTTTTACGCTACTAAGTGTGTGGTAATTTGTTACAGCAGCCCTAGGAAACCAAAACTTCTGTTCATCAGAAGACTTCACTCAGAAAACAAATAGCCAAGCTACATATGACAGAAAATATTTTATTTGGGGAAGGGGAGAGGTAACTTGTAACTAGAATATGAAAAAAAAACAACCCTCCTAAAGCTCAACAATTAAAAAAAAAACTAATTAGAAAGTAGAATAAATAATTAAACAGAAACTTCATAAAGGAATCTATTGGAATGGCAAATAAATACATGAAAAAGTACTTAACATTATTTATCATCAGAGAAATGCAAATTAAAGCCAGAGGAGATACCACTATACACTGGTTAGAATGACAAAATTAAAGAATCAATTGCAAGGGAAAATGTGGAACAACTGGAACTTTGAGAAATTGCTGGCAGGATTATAAAATGGTAAAACTTAGGAAAACAGTGAGTAATTTCTTATTAAACTAAATGTGCATCTACCATATAAGCCTGCTATTCTACTTCTAGGTATTTACCAAGAAAAATGAAAGCATACGTTCAGAAAAGACTTGTTCTGTGCTGCTGTAACAAAATATCTGAGACTGAATAATTTATAAAAGACTGAAATTTGTTTTCTCATAGTTCTGGAGTCTGGGAAGTTCAAGATTAAGGTACCAGCAGGTTTGGCTGTCTGGTGAGAGCTGCTTTCTGCTTCAAAGATGAAGCCTTGGCCTGGCGTGGTGGCTCATACCTTTACTCCCAGCACTTTGGGAGGCCAAGACAGGCAGATTGCTTATGCCCAGGAGTTTGAGACCAGCCTGGGCAACGTGGTGAAACCCTGGCTCTATGAAAAACACAAAAATTAGCTGGGTGTGGTGGCTCACGCTTGTGGTCCCAGCTACTTGGGAGGCTGAGGTGAGAGGACCACTTGAGCCTGGGAAGCAGAGGTTGCAATCAGCCATGATTGTGTCACTGCACTCCAGCCTGGGTGACAGAGTGAGACCCTGTCTCAAAAAAACAAAAAACAAAGACAGCACCTTGTTGCTGCAGCCTCTGGAGGGATGGAATGCTGTGACTTCATGTGGCAAAAGGTGAAAGGGCAAAAGAGTAGAATGCTGCATGAAGCCTATTTTATAAGAGTCTTAATCCCATTCACAAGGGAGAAACCTTTACAGCCTAAACATCTCTGAAAGATTCCATCTCTTAATATTACCACATTGGTGGGAACTGAATTTTGGAGAGGACACATTCAAACAATAGCAAATTGGAAACACTTATATGTCTATCAACAAAAGAAGAGAAAAAACAAGTTGGGATATATTTATACAATGACTTATTACTTAACAATAAAAAGGGACAAACTTCAGATGTATAACAACATGGATGAATCTCAAAAACATTACGGAGAACAAAGGAATCTAGATACAAAAAAACTACCTACTCTCTGATGCCATTTAGACAAAGCACTACAACATAGAAAACTAAGCAATTGTAAAAATCAGCCTCCTCAAAGGTGGGGGATGGGGAAGGAGGAGTGGCAGGGTCACCTGGAAAGATGCACAAACATGCTCGAATTTTTTTTATATGAGAAATGTTGGAGTACCAGTGAAGAGATATGGCATATACAGGTTTGAGCTATGTGCTTAGTGTGTGTGCATTTCACTGTATATAAATTAGAACTCAAAGAAATGTTAACAGATGAGCACAAATATAAGTACATAAAATTTTAAAATCCAGTTCAAAATCCTAAATAAATCACTAATTTAGTAGGAAGTAGTCATTTCTGGAGATCTGATCACAATAAACCTCCATCTTTCTTTTTTCCAGTTAGTGAAGGATAATACCCTGGAAGAGTTTTTCACTGTGCACAATTAATATAAAAGGAATCTAATTTTTTAAAATTATAATTAATAATCATTCTATTATCTCAATTCCAGAAAGTTGCCACATACTTCCAGCCTATCCCTTGCTGAAATTTTTTACATACCCTTTTAATCCTTAATACTTTCCATTCCAAAATGGAAATGAGAGTCCCAAAATTCCAATATAGTTTCCTCAATCTAGGGTAAGCTTTCCTTCTTTATAAACTAGAAAAATTCAAAGTATTTGAGCACTTGTAACTTTAGAAATTGTCATTAAGTAATACAGACTCCAAATTTTATTCTAGAAACTCTAGCCTTCCTATTATATTGTTATACATGTCAAACAAGACTTTCCCCATCACAAATGAGCATATGTATAAAAAGATAGTGCCCATTAACTGAGTATAGCCTTTGCTAATCAAGTATTATAATTCCTGACTTAAAGTTCACCAAGCACATGGAAGGGGACAGGAGTGGTGAACAGCATTTAGAACTGTGCTGTTCAACACAGTACAGTATAGTGCATAGCGTACAGTGGCTAGATCAATCCACTAGTCACATAAAGGCTAAAGTATCAAAATTAAATAAAATTCTAAAATTCAGTTCTTCATTCACATTAGCCACATTTCAAGTGCTCAACAGCCACACAGAGTTAGTGGCTACCATATTGGACTGGATGTTTCCATGACACTATTCTGTTGGACAGCTTTGATTACAGAGAAGCTGGGGTGAAAGGCAGTCCTAAGGTAAAAATCCTCATTTTAAATTCAATGGAAACTGAATTTCTGAAGTGAAGGAAATGACCCAAAGCTAACAATTAAGATTTGGAACTTTGTGAACCAGAGATTTTTCATAAACACATGCACATACACACACACAGTACTAAGGCAAAAACCAGAGGTCAGTCAGTTTTATTATTATATCTACTCTCAGGTTCCATGAGAGTTATCCTGAAGAGCCTGAAGCAGCAAAATTCAATTTACCTCCACTTCCAGGGAAAGTCTTTGAGCCAAGGTGTACATTTTATTGGACTGCCTCGTCTCTATTCATGTCAAAGGTTTAATCCTGAAGGCTTTCAGAATTCAAGACTTTAGATTAGAAAATGGCCTTTACTCCACACTATGGCAGTGCTCATTCTGGACTTATGAAAATGGTAATATAATAAAAATGGACTTGGAACATTTACACCAGGAGCACTAATAACCATATGGACTAATGATTGGAGTACATCCCTTGAAGTTACTGACTTGGCCATGCACATGGTTTAAGGCCATTTAAGAGACAACTTATAGGCCAGATGTCTGTGAAAATGTTCACATAGCATCTGTGGTTCATTACGCAAGTGTATATTTAGAGATTATTGACGCCCAAAGACCACAAAAGTTTCTTTGGAGCCATCGTAGTTAATGATGCACTTACAATAAGGAAAAATTCCAGCATTGCCAGACAGTCTATGGTGTCAGCATCAACACGGATGCTCTGTTTTTATGAAGATTCTTGACTCTGCAGAGGGGAATGACTTCTTTAGTGCCACTGTGGTCTAATCATGTCAAACCCTGCTAAGAGAGTCCTCCATTTATGGATCACTAGCAATATTTATCAGCATGGCTCCTCTGGAACCATTATCATTTGTCATGTCAATAATGTTGCTACTGCACCCTATTGCATTTTAAGTGGCTGCAGTAGTGAAGTAGCTCAGGTTCTAGGTGAAAAACTTCCAATTTTTCTTCCAAATTCTCCCCTTTCAGACAATATGCAAAAGTATTATGATATTCCATTGTAAGCAACTGAACCCATTAAGATGATCAATTCAAAATAAATCCTAAAACATATTTTTTCTAGTTTTTTCCCATGCCAATAGCATATGTGGTTTGTTATGCAAGTGTACATATTTGTACTTGCCAATTTATTAAGTTGTCCAAATGATCTTTCAATTTCCATTTGAGCTCTCTATGTATGACACATACAAATGTTATTTGGTTTATTTTAAGTTATACAACCTTCCAAAATTAAAAACAACCCATCCATATACTGTGGCATTCTGAGATTTCATAAACAATAATGTTCCGAAGCCAGTGTCAGCCACAGGACTTCTGAAAGTGGCTTTTTAAGCTCACTTGTGGGAGTGTTACAGAGAGCAGCTGATTAATGCCTGGCAAAGTTTTCTCCCATACTATGCAATGCCTGATACCAGAACTCAGAGTATTACATAACATTCTATGCTTCCAGTAGCTCCAAGGCTGACAGGCCAGGACAGAAAAAGGACCACAGTAATGGGCAAGGGACTCATTATTACCATGGGCAGAGCAGCAACTCACCCCATGCCAACCTCACCAGTGAAGTAAGGAAGCAAACAGGATTAAAAGTAGAATATTTGAACCCTCATTCTCGTGAAGTAAGGGTATTAGATTATTATCTGTCTTATGTGTGTGCTTTACTTCTATTAATCCTATCTTCGAAACCAATCTGTACATTCCTTAAGTATTATAATCATATATCCTATTAATATTTATTGTTCAACTCTGCTGAGACTAATTCAGTAGATTTAACACAGTGGACTTGTTTCTATTTTCTTATGTGTAACAGGGATAATATTTTATAAATTATTAATGTGCCTTTCTAAATGCATTTACCTTAGCTAGCCTAAGCAGTCTTCTGCCTGAAAGATTTTGGCTAAGTACAGAAGAAATGGGGGAAAAAAAAAAAAAGCCTTGTACTCCTTCCACAATGACACCAAGGGAGCAGAAAAGAGAAGCGAGAAGTTAAAAAAAAAATTTTTTTAACCCACTCCATGCAAGACTGGAAAGGGTTGTGAAGAAAATAAGCAAAGAGAAGAGATTTTTTTTTCCTCTCTTGGGGTTTTGGCCTGGAGAGAGGGAGCTGTATTAAATAAGTATCAAAGAGAGTAGAGAACTTTGGGAGACTGCAGCAGGTGGATCACTTGAGGCCGGGAGTTCAAGACCATCCTGGCCAACATGGCAAAACCCCATCTCTACTAAAAACACAAAAATTAGCTGGGTGTGGTGTTGCATGCCTGTCATCCCAAGTACTCGGGAGGCTGAGGTTCAAGAATCACTTGAACCTGGGAGTCGGAGGTTGTAGTGAGCCAAGATCGCACCACTGCATCCGGTCTGGGCGACAGAGTGAAACTCTGTCTCAAAAAAAAAAAAAAAAAAGGCAGAAAAAGACTCTTGCCCACTTCCTGTTGACTCAGGAAGATGATGGCTGTGGGGGCTGCAGTGTATAAACTTAGGGCATAGCCACATCAAAGTAAACACTGAAGTGCAGCAGTGTTAAGGCTAAGGAGAGGGGATGTCCTGAAATTTAACTGTCCCAATGTTTGGCTGGGGACCTTGCCAGAAAGGACACTGGAGAAGTGGTGAAGTGACTTTATAGAAAGCGATGCAGAGGACCAACCTCCCAGGCTAGGCTCAAATATGAGTTAGCACCAGACTCCCCAGGGTCTATAGCACCAATGGGAGCCAAGATAAGGCAGTCAGCCAGGAGATGCCACTGGGCTCTGATGGAGCTAACAAAAATCCAGTGAACAAGTGACAGCAACCATAGACTTGAGCTACAAGTGCCAGCAGAACACACAGCAACAGGTGGGCAAAGGATATCAACCCCCAGAGCAACACACAGACAAACACAGGACAAGACCCTCTTCTTCCCCACCCCCATCCCACCTGGACAGAAGCCAGAGAATACTCCTCCCAAAGATCTCAAGTCTTTGTTTTAGTTATGAGGTCACAAAAACCATACCTCTCTCCTCATGAACTGTCATCACTTTATAAAAGAGAGAGAGAGAGAGAGAAGGGGCAGGCTATTTGAGAAACTGGGCTTTTTAATCAATAGACTGATCACTACTTCACATCTAAAAAGAGCTCATGCTTTAAGCAGTGGTCACAGGACCAAAAAAATCACTTATTAAAAATGTGTTACAATTCTTTAAGGCAAGGGTCACAAGCCAGTAACCCCCAAGTGGCCCACGCATCTACAGAAATGTAAATTTGAATTTGAATAGCTCTAAGTGACACCTTTCCTTCCCACTCACCCACTGACCTCAGTACCCCTCATAATCTCATATCTGGTTCAGTGAACTCATTTACATTACTTGCCTGGCCCATGTAAGCAAAACGATGTTGTGACAGGCTGCTTTAAAATTTTAAGATTATTTAGGTCTGTTTCTTTCTGTTGAATTTACACATTGGGAAACAGGAACTCACAAATTTTAAAAGGTTTTTAAAATTAGATGCATGTAGGATTTCTTGAACAAGACACAAAATATTGAAACCACAAAACAAAAAATAATGATAACTTGAACTCCATTAAAAATAAATATTCCTGCTCATCAAAGAAATCCATGAAGAAAATAGACAAGCCACAAACTGGGAGAAAATATCCACAAAATAAACATCTAACAAAGGGCATATTTTCATAATAAATGAAAAAATCCTACAAACCAAAAATAAAAAGATGCAAATCTCATTTTTAGAACAACTAAATGGACAGTTCACAAATAGAAAATATATAATGATCAGTGAATACATCATGAGATATCAGGGAAATACAAATTAAGTCCAGAATGAAATATCTCTTCATACCCATGAAAATGGATCAAATCAAAAAGACTGCAAGAAACACTGAGAACTCTCATACATTTCTATATGAGTATTGAACAGTACAAAATGGTACAATCACTTAGGTGAACTGTTTGGAAGTTTCTTAAAAAGTTAAATATACATCAACCCCAAATTTCCTCTCACAGACATTTATCCAAAAGGAATAAAAGTAAATGTCCAAAAGAAACTTTTAGAGAATATTTATGGCAGCTTTATTCATAATAGCCAAAGACTAGAAAAAACCCAGGTGTTTATCAGCAGGAAAATTGATCATCAAATTGTGGTATATTCATACAGTGAAATAATACTCAGCAACAAAAGGGAATGCATTACTGATACATACAACATAAATAAATTTAAAGATGTTAACTTAAGTGAAAAAAGCCAGGCACAAAAGCATATTGCTTGATTCCATTTGTATAAAATCCAAATATAGCAAAACTAGTCTATTTTGTGAAAAAACAGAGAGTAATTGTGTGGGAGAGGTGGGAACTGACTACAAAGGGGCACATGGAACTTTCCCTGGGAATGGTAATATGCTAAATCTTGTTTTGGGTGGCGGTTATCTGATTGTATACAATTATCTAAACTCATCAAACTAAGCACTCAAGATTTGTGCATTTAATTGCATGTTAATTATACCTCAGTGAAAGTAGATATAAACACAGAGTAGACAGGTATAACTTCATAGGGATAGTGATAATTTTGAGGGACATAACTTCTAATTTAGTAGTCCTAAAAAATAGTTTTTTAATTATTATTTTTTCATAATTAATTATACAAGTAATGCAAATTTATAAAAAATTCCAGCAATACAAAAATGATTTAAGTAGAAAAGGAATTATCTGTGTAAATGAGATAGTGTTAGAGATAGAGTGACAAGGATGTCTATTCCATTCACTTATTAGTAATTTTTCTTTTAAAAGAATCAGGAGAGCCATTTAAAAAATATTTTTATTTGCTCTAAAACTATAATATATTAGTGGTTTGTTAACAAGTTGTTATTTTTAAATTGTTATAATTTAATTTTTGAAGATTACAGTCAATTAGAGTTTATCTTTCATTTATCAAACAAGACATCAATGCAAAACAGTAATTCTTTTTACGTAAAAAGTTAACGTCAGAAACATATACTAAAACAGTTATGTAGGGCTCATTGTATAAAGTAAGTTTATGAAACTAAAGCACCTCAGAGTCATTGCAAAATCTGCCAAACTGAAATACAGAAAAATAAAACCCAGCAACAAAACAAATAATTTGAATAAATAGGCAATACCATTAAAGCCCTTGCAATACCATTAAATGGAATCTGCTCCCAAAGGGACTGCATAAACCCTTGGCTACGGTGATAATATAGATGCCAATGTTAAAGAGAACAGCCAAAGATATCAGGAAGTATGAAGTGCAATTTAGGAGGAGAGTGGTGGTTCCAGGTGAAAGAATTAGAAGAAACAGACAAATTTTGCTCTTGGGACTAATTAGGAAGATGTGGGAGTCCAAGATTCTCTTACACACAGTATACTTAAAATATCTATATTATATGTACATACCTAAATAACTATGAATGAAACTAGGCTAGAGTGCTATACATTTTATATTAACCAAGTAATTCAACACTTACCTTTTTGTTCGAAGAATCAACAAGAGAACTCTAAATAGTTATTGCTTTATAATAGAAACACCTGAATCCATCTGGTCAACACACTACTATACTGGAAACCGTAATGACATCTGCTTGGGTTAGTCTTCCAAACTCACCCACCCACTGCCACCCCCTACCATAAATCAAGAGGAATAATGAATTCATATCTATAAATAAATATTAATGGTTAAACTTCAGGAAGAATTTGCTACAGAATTTAACAGTCATTTCTATGCATTTCCTTTCAGAATAATGAAATATTAAATGTTCTAAAACCTCAGACAAGCCAAAATTTGGACTCTTTGTTTATGATTGCATGCCAATAACAAAATATGCACAAATAAAAAATAGAATGATATAAATGAAGTCAAGTATGATCTTGTTTCAATCCTTTTTAGCATCTTGCTTATGACTTTGCTGTCATTTTTACTACCAGTAATTTTTTTAATTTACAGCTATAGCTAAAGATAGAATTAAACTACAGCTCTAAACATAAGAGTGCTTTCAAAACCAAAATGCAAAAAATGCTTCACCAGTCTATCTGGAGGAGGGAATAGTAGCCAACTAACATTTATAAACCCCATTCCTCCTACAGAGGGATGATGTGCCATGTGCGAAATGGCCTATTTCAGTTTCCAAGGTTGGCAACAATCTGTACCAGCGAGACCAAGTTCCAGAGCCAGCAGTGCCCAGGTCTTTTCACGCATCACATACTGACAGCTGAATCTGTTTTGTGGAGTCTTATGCCATATCTTGTTCTTGCTCAAAACCTACAATGCCATAAGAACAGATTTTGCCCTTCAAAAGCATTTGATCTTTTATTTTTAAGTACATTTGGTTCTAACTTCTCTAATTAAAAGCAAGTATCTCTGCAAAAAAAACACAAAAATAACATTTATTTCACCTTCTATTGTTCCCTCTTGTATTTTTACAGGTTTATTTTGAATGAGTTCTCTCCATTTAATCCACTAAAATATAAATGCATTCACCGTCAATATCAACAGTGGATTTGATTTACTCTTTTTCTTTGAATGAAGAGCCTATTGCCTGAAATTCCGTATCTCAATTTAATTATCTAAAGAATGTATTTCTACAGATTCATATCTTAACATACACTGCTGGAAAAAAACGTTAACAAATTAGATTTTCCTTACCTACTTCTTCTATCAAGACAGTGTGGAAGAGAAAATTAATCCTTTCCTACAATATTTTCCAGTAGCACATATTTGTCATGTTGTTATATAACTTTAGAAAGTCTAAAATGAGGTAGCTCAGCATTTGCACCTCTATTCTGTGTTTTTCCCCTGAGAGAAAAGCTTTGTTACACACAGATGGGAACAGTTTAAACATTCCCTCTCTTTTCTTCATGAGACAGCTAAGATAGTGTTCATTTAAAACCCATTTTTGCTTTTCAGATGCCTGTGTAATTAACATCAGTCCTGAAAAGTTTTAGAAATAAGCCTGCAAGTTTCCACAAGCTAACTGGCATTTTCCCAACTTCACCCTCTGACTTTACTAATTTGCTGACCAAAATAACAAAAAGTAATCATCCATTAAATAGGTGGGTTCTCCCCACTCGACAGTTTCCTGCCTGGTCAATGATTCAGAGTGAATGCTCATTTTTTTCCATTAGTCTTTGAAACGTGTTCTAATTTGAAAGTATGTTATCAAAGAACAATTTAAATTGCACAATTTTCCTGGAAATGCAACCCAATTATTAAAAATTGAACCCACAGCAGCAAAGGGATGAAAATGTACTATGAGATGCTTTATTGTAGAGGCACCTATGATAAGGATAATGAAATTTTTGTAGCAACTTTTAAAAAATTGACCTCTACATCAGAGGCTTAGTGTCTTCAAGGTGAGTGGCAATAAATATACATTTACTCTGCCTTCTTTTCTTTCCCTTTAGAGGCCTCATTTCTTGTGAATTCCCATGCTCCAAATCAAGTTCTTATCCAATCAAGTTCTTATATCCACTGCATTTCAACTTCAAATATGTCTTCATTTTAACCCATAACATAATAGTCTTATAAAAATGTATAACTTAAAAGTGTCTCATATCTTCAGGATTATGGTTTATCATAGAAATTAATAATAAGCTTCAGAAAGATTTCAGTGAAGACAATCCAGATTTGAGTTAGGAATTTTAAAAGTCCAATTTCTGACCTTTGGATTTTAAGTTTAAGGAAATTGGTAAAGTTGTTTCTACGCATTTTCCTTCAAAATAATAGTGAAACATTAAGTGTATTAAGATCCCAGGCAAACCCAAGTCTGAATTCTTTAGAGTCAAATTTGGACTGAACAATTCCTCCTTTGAGACATTTTAAACATTTCTCCCCTTTATTTGGGATATGATATTTCTTCTCCTAGAGTGAAAAAATCCCTCTTTTCATTTGAAAGGCAAAAACATAAAGCCTAGAGTCATAGTGCTTTCCTGAGTTGGTTGAATTAAACGATCTATTAGGTATCCTACATAAAAATTCAATCTGAACATCAGGGAATAGAAAGTATTAACAAAAGCAGTAACACTAATACTTACATTACAACAGAACTTATGAAAATCAGTCTCAGAAGGAAAAACAAACATATGAATGATAGTGTCATAAAATAAGCTGCCTCTCTGGAGTACTCATATACTTTAAATAAATCTATTTTTATAGTATAATTAGCAATCTGATGACATGTGAGAAGAATACATCAGTGAAGGACATGTCCTCCTCCAAACAAAGTCAACAGGCTCTCAGAAAACATCCAGGTTCAACGTTCAGTTACTAGGAGCATTGCATCTCATTGGTAGCCTAAAGGAAACATTTTTATATGCCTTTCTTAACAATCCATCAGTCTCCAGGAAGAACTCTGCTCAGTTACAAGTATGTGTCAACAAACGCAATTCATAGTAAAGATATCCAGCTACTAATTACCACTGGAAATTTAAATAAGTTCTAAAAATATAGGTTACGTTCTGCTCTGAAATACTTAACCTATTTGGCATTTTTTCTGGGACACTTAATGGTCCATCAGTACAATGTGTTAGACTGTACAGATATAGAATTAGACACAGTGCTTGCCTAGGGGATTCTCAATTTAAATAGACAAGCAAAATAGATTAAGCCCTAAAACACCAGTGTATGGAAGAAATAAAGTAGATCACTACTATTAAGAATACATATTTATAAAACAGATACACAATGCACAGCACAGGAGTAAAGGGCAGGATATCTCTCAGTAGCAAAGAAAGCATTAGAACAATCCAAGATGCTCTTTAGGAGGGAACTGTTTTGAACATAGTGTTAAAGATTGTCAGAGAGATGAAAAAGAGGATGTTACGGACATCAGGGGTTACAAGAAAAAGAAAAGTTAACTAAAAGGAAGGACGAAATTTACTTCTGGCTGAATGCAAGTGACTTCAGAAATCGTTTAATCTAACTCCCATCTACACATCATTGAAACATTTTTGCTAAAATACTGTTATCTAATCTCCACTTAAGTATTATTAGAGACATGTTTATTGGATGGATGGATGGATGGATGGATGGATGGATGGGTGGATGGATGGGTGGATGGATGGGTGGGTGGGTGGATGGATGGATGGATGGATGGATGGGTGGATGGGTGGATGGATGACTGGATAGATGGACAGATAGAAGGATAGCTATTCCAAAAAAAAAAGTTACTTAAATGTTGGAACTTTGTTGAAAGCATTTATCTTAAAATGACTATTCCCAACTTTTTTCAGAGACCTAGTTTTGCCGTTTACACCAGTGTTGTCCAATAGAAGTATAAGAGCCATAAAGATGAGTCACATAAGTAATTTTACATTCCTAGTAGCCACCTTAAAAAAGTAAAAACAAGTGATTTTAATTTGAATAATATATTTCTTTAACCCACTATCCAAAATATTATTCCAACATATAACCAACATAAAAATATTAATGAGATTTTATATTTTATACTAAGTCTTCAGCACCTAGTATGTATTTCTATACTTATATCACTCCTCAATTTGTATTAAGCACATTTCAACTATTCAACAGCAATTGGTAGTTAGTGGCTACTGTATTGGAGAGCTCAGTTTGAGACAATGGTTCACAAGCTTGGCTAAACATCAGAATCACAGGAAACTTCTTAAAAATATAGATTCCTGGGATTCATCCCCAGAAATTTAGATTCACTAAGTTTAGGAAAGCCAGGGAATCTTTTTAACAAGGCATTCAATAAACCACTGATCATCAAGCTGACATCTGGGAATTATTGCTCTAGAATAACACAAAATCAGTCTAAGTCTTTCTATACATGACTGTCCTTCCAAAATCTTAGAGAAATTGTCACACTGCCACTGTATTTTATTGTACGGGCTAAAAATTCTAAGGTCTTTCAATCATCCCTCATCTGGCATAGTTTCCAAACCTTTCAACTCCCTGGTTGCTGTACCCTGGATGCACTCCAGTTTGTCTGGCTTATTTGCAATAATGGAGAAGTACCATAGCATAAATAATCCAACTTAATCTTTATCTGCCTTGGAAATGTTTCTCAGGACTGTCATATGAATATGAGTGTCTCTGCTAAATGTTGAATTCGCAATACTTCAAACTAAAAATTTAAACTCTCATCATCAAGAAGCATTCAGGATGTCCAGGTTCTTCAAAATGCTGTTATTTCCTCTGTGGCACACTTCATCATAGGCTGGAGAAGGACCCTCTCAGGATAATTTGGAGTTATTCAAAGTTAAACAGAACTACCATTTTTTCCATGCCTCTCCACCCTCTTACCTTTCCTTATGACTAGAGAAGAAAGCAGGTATTTTGATTTTTAGAAAGAGCTCTTCAGCTTTCATTAAAGTTACATAAATACAAAACATAAAGTCACGAAAGTAATCATATTTGTCATGAACAAATGGGCTCAATTCAGTGCCACAAGTATTCACTTAGCAAGGGCTTACTAAGCACATTATGTGTGCAACCATGGTAGGCCAGGAGGCTACAAGAAGAAACAATGCAGAGACTCAAGCCCCAAGGAGATCACAATCTAGTCAAGAAGTCAAGCATATTAATCTAACAAATATATAGAGATGCTCCCCATCTTCTAAAACATTGGTACAACAAGGCAGATTAAATTCCTTCCTCTCCTATGCTAGACATTTGGGATTCATATCAGTAAATTAAGCATTCAAAAATCCCTGCCCGCATGCACTTTACTTTTTAGCAGCAGAGACAAACAATAAACAATTCAAATGATAAGTAAATGAATTATACAGTATGGTAAATAATAAGTGTTAGGGAAACTAACAGATCAGAGTAAGGAGTATCAAGAATATTTGGGAGGTAAAAGACAAGTTGAAATTTTACTCTGTGATCATTAGAGGCCTCATTAAAAACTTGTTATCTGAGAAAAACGTTTGAAAGAAGTAAGGCGGAAAACATGCAGCTGTCTGGGGGAAGAGCATTCCAGGGCACGGTGGACAGCCAGTGCAAAAGCCCTGCAGCAGGAGAGTACCTGCCTGGCATGTTTGAGAAACAAGGATGCCACTGGCGTTAAAGCAAAATAAGCAAGAAAGAGAGAAGCAGATGAGGTCAGAAAAGTAAAAGGGTGGGAGTGGGAGTGTGCAGGTAAGACTTTATAGGGCATAATAAGAACTCTGTCTTTTATTTTGAGTGAAACGAAGAACCCCTGAAAGCTTGGAGCAAAGCAGTGACATGATATGTATTACATTTTAAAAGGATCACTCTGGCAACTATGTGAAGGACAGACTGCAGAGAAGCAAGAGTGTAAGCAGGCAGATTACTTAGGAGGCTACTGCAGTAATCCAAGTGAAAGAGGGTGGTAGCTTGGACCAAAGAGGTACAGGGAGGAAAGGAGAAGTGATCAGATTACTTTACACAAAAAAATTATAATACAGTGTGGTGGGTATTGTATCAGAGGATACTAAGAGAGCACATAAAAAGTAACAAACAATAATTCCACCAAAGGAAGAATTTGTAGCCAAAGTGACAACCTACCTGAATCCTGAATGATATGTAAGAGTTCACCAGGAAAAGGAACCAGGAAGAATGGCAAAGAAGGAGGCCAGCACAGAGTTGCTGGGGGCCAAGAGAAATAGATGGAAATGGTGTTTTCCCTAGAGAACCTACATTCTCATTAAAAGACAGTAAATCATGTAACGACTACAGTTACAGGTGCTACTGGAATCGAAATCAGCACAAGGACTTTAGATTGTAGAAATAAGTAGTAATGCAAGAATGATAATCAAGAAACAATACCAAAGAAGTAACAGGAAATGTAGGGAAAAATAAACCCACTTCACAAAGATCCACTTCACAGGAGATCCGTCAACATTCCACCGGCCCCTGAAACACTATTCAAGGTTCCCTGAAATCTTATCCTCCATCACCAGCTCCCACCAACAGATCAAATCAATACCAAGGAACGCCAAGGTTATCCAGACAGAGCCAGGTAAAACAATTGTGTCATTTGTTTTTCAGAACTTCTAAAACTTATCCCCACAATATAGAACTCAAAACCTAAGCTTTAATTGTGCTTGTAAAGTAATTATGTTGGGGTTGCTGTAGAGAGGAGCTATGCCCTGAATCTTCCTTTACTGGTTTTCTCAATGCTCCCCAACTTCTAAAACATTGGCACAACAAGGCAGATTAAATTCCTTCCTTTCCTAATCTGCCATTTATCCTCATCCCTTTCTACCCAAATCCATATATCCTTTACTCCCCATTAAGAACTAAAAACAGCAAAAGTAGAACAGAAGATGCTTTAGGGGCAGTTTCCCCCCATGCCCAGATGACCTTCACCTGTCCTCCCTTTAGCACATGAAAGTCATCTGACTTTAGCTCCTACACAAAATCTAGCATTTCCACCTGAAAGCCCCTCAAAAGTCCAAGGGAGCATGATCCTCTGATAAGCTAATTCCAAAATAAAAATAATAATTAAGATTTAATGAATGTTTAGTAAATGTCAGGCATAGTTTTGTTCCTATGATGCACACATTGACCCTAAGAAGTAGTACTATTACTATGCCAATTGAGGCAGAAATAAGTAACAAGATCAAGTTCATACAACTAGTAAAGGAGCCAAGACTGGAGATGAAGATGTCTAGCTCCCAGGCCGTGCTCCTAAATGCTACTGCACATCAATATGAACTCAGAATTACCTCCATCATTCCTTCCCTTTGTCTGGAATACAATGTGACCTTTCAGAGCAGTGATTTTTCAGACTTCATTCCATATATTTCCTTTGTAGGGAGAGACACATGGTTGCCCTGGGTTACTCACCCTTTCCCAAGAATGAAGACTATTAGCAGAGGCGTCATCAAAAACAGTTCAGGGAATATGTGCCCAAGTGCCCAGTTCCTGACAGCTGGCCACATGAAAGAAGGAGAAGCTATGCTATACTTTTTTCTTCCCCAACAGCTCCTTCACTAATCCTTTTTAATTACAAGAATCAATATCCAAGTCTCTACAAATATGAGTTTATATGGTGAAGCGAAAGTCACCACAACAACAGTATTCACCAATAAGTTGTTTGCTTAGAAAATGTTTCCATCTAAGACTAATGTCTATCCCGGCAATGTCAATTAGAAACTGAAATCTAGCAAAAGATGAAAAATTTCATGAAGTCAATAAAAGCAATGTAAGCAAGTGCTCAAATGACACAAAAAGGCCCTAAGTTATGATTATCTGATGCAGGTGGATACATTTTTTAAATTAAAATTAAAATTTAACCAGAATGATAAGTACTTCAAAATAGAATGATTTCACATTCAAGGATTAAGAGAGAGTCCTCAGATATTTTTGCAAACACAAACAACAACAACAAAACACTCAATACTTGATTTTACTCTGTTTCTTCTTAGAATTCGCTTGTGGTTAAATGATTACCTACAATTTGTCATATATAGACTAGGATACAATTTTCCTAGTTTTCTAATCATTCTTCAAGATAAAGTCCCAAATTTTCTTTTTCATGATTTACGATAAAATTTTGGTTCCTATTTTACTGTAATAATTTATATAGACATTTTCCTTTCCCTATTATATTGTGATCCCCATCCTTAAAATAGAAGCAGTGCAATAAATATTTGTTAATTTGAATTGAATTAAAATCAACAGGAAGGCTGGGTGCAGTGGCTCACGCCTGTAATTCCAGCACTTTACAAGGCCGAGGCAGGCGGATCACCTGAGGTCAGGAGCTCAAGACCAGCCTACCCAACATGGTGAAACCCCGTCTCCACAAAAATACAAAAATTAGCTGGGCATAACGGCAGGTGCCTGGAATCCCAGCTACTCAGAAGGCTGAGGTGGGAGAATCGCTTGAACCCAGGAGGTGGAGGTTGCAGTGAGCTGAGATTGCACCATTGCACTCCAGTCTGGGTGACAGAGTGAGACTCCATCTCAAGAAAAAAATAAAAATAAACAGGAGACATATCACACCATAAAGCCTTGTTGTCTAATGCCTCAGTTATCAGTTAGTACCTTGGTAGGTATTGAATTATAGACAGATAATCTAGAATAAGAGAAAGAATAGATGCCTACAAGAATGGGATCCAGACCCAACATGAAGAGAATAAGCCAACGAGAGGTGGAATAAAGCCAAAGAAAGATAGAAACTCTTCATTTCAGCTGTTACCCAGAGTGTACTTCAGCCATGACACTGAAAGTCGTTCACCTGCCAGAGCCTGTCAAGATTGCTCCAGGTCCTCCAAAATCAAGGCAGTGTTCCTCTGATATCCCTTGTACTTTTCAGAGGGGTCTTCTAGTTATGTTTGACCCTGTCAATAATTACAGCTACCACACTTGCTGGGTGCCAAATAGCATGCTAAGTGTTGTCCCTTCTATCTTCAAAATATTAATGCTTTCTGACTTTTCCCCTCCACATCCAGATTAACATTTTGAGGAGAAAGGGTGTATTTTTGAAAAAAAAATACAATAAAAAACTAGACACTTGATTTTACTCTATTTGTTCTCAGAATTAGTTCATAAATGGTGGGGAGAATCCCTTAAATACTTAGCATTTACCATAAAGACTGAATTGACATGTAAAGAAACCTATTGTACGTCCCAAATGACTAATATGACATGGTAACTGTCAATACCAAGTTGCAAACCACTCCATAAACACATTCTGTTGCATAGTTAAATGAGAACTCAAAAGAAAGTTTAATTTGGTTATAAAATAAATAACTGCTAATGTTCAAGATATATATTAGTTTTCTATTTCTGCTGTAACAAATACTACAAACTCAGTGGCTAAATTAACAAATTTGTCTTGCAGTTCTAGAGATTAGAAGTTCAAAATGGGTCTCCCTAAGCAGACATCAAGGTGTCAGTAGGGCTATGTTCCTTCTGGAGGCTCTAAGAGAAAACTTGTTTTCTTGCTTTTTACAGCTTCTAGAGAATGTCCACATTTCTTGACTCATGGCCACCTTCCAACTTCAAAGCCAGAGATGGCCAGTCAAGTCTCACATTGCATCACACTGACACATACTCAATTACCTCCCTCTCCCACAATTAAAAGGCCCCTTGTGATTACATTGGGCCCAGCTAGATAATCCACAATAATCTTATTTTTAAGTCAGTCGATTAACAACCTTAATTTCATTTGCAAATCTAATCTCCCCTTGCCACATAACAATATATTCACTGATTCTGGGGATTAGTATGTGGACAGCTGACTCTCAATCAGCCTACCACAGTCTTTCTCCTGACCCCCAAAGATTCACATCCATTGTACATGCAAAAGTCCCCCAAATTTCCAGCCCACTGAAGTATCAACTCAAAGTTCAAAATCTCATCTAAATCTTAATTAATTCAGAAGTACCAAGAACCACACATTAGAAAGATGGTGGAATACAACTTTCCAGCCCTCATCCCCCTGATAGAAACATCAATTAGAACAACTATCAACACATAACAATATACCATCACAAAAGCTAAGAAAACCAGGTGAGAGATTGCAGCACCTGGGTGTGGCACAGAACTAAGAAAAGGCATACTGAAGAGAGCAGTAAGGACAATTTTACGTTACCCATCTCACCTTTCCCCAGTGCCAGGCAGCACAGCATGGAAAGCAATAATCTTGAGGAAACGAAATAAAAATGAGCACTTGACTTTGTTTCAGACCCCAAAAATAGGCCTGACTCAGTAAAGCTCAACACTAGGCACGACTCCACAGTCACAGACTCTAGGCTGGTACCCACAGATTGAGCCTCCAAACCCATTCTAGTGCCAAACCGGATCCCACAGCCTCAGGCTCCAGGCTGGCCAATCAGACTTGGTCTTTGGGCTGCCCCACTGTCAGCCCAACCCCAGTAGCCTCAGGCTCTGAAACAGTCTCAACATTAGATTGGCCCCCATAGACCCAGGCTCCAGACCCATCCCAGAAACAAGCAGCTGCAGCAGCCATGGGCTCTGGACTACCCCGAGAGCTGAGCTGGCCCTCACTGTCCCAGGCTTCAGGCCTACCCTAATACCAAGCTGGCAGCCTCTATCCACAGGGGCCAGCCCAAAGCTGGGTCTAAGGATGCCCATTCCATCACCAGGGCAGCGACCATGGACTATGGCTCCAGGCTAGCCCCACAGACCCAATCAGTGAGTCCAGGCAACAGGCCTGCCAAACTGCTAACCCAGTCACCAGGACAGCCTGTCTGAGAACTCCAGCAATAAGTCTTCCCACCAACCATGCCAGACAGTCTTCCTGGAATCTATGAACTGGCTGACTGGTGAAGAGCTTTCCCAGACAAAGCCAGTCTGCAAAGACTAGAATAAGTCCCTACTCCTTCAAATGCACTGACTTCAACACAAGCAACAAGAAACATAAAAAGCCAAGGAGATATAACACCACCAAAAGTGCACAATAATCTCCCAATAGCTGACCCCAAAGAAATGAAAACATATAAACTTCATGACAAAGCATCCAAAACAATTGTTTTAATGAAGCTCAGAAAACCTCAAGAAAGTACATATAAATAATTCAATAAAATCAGGAAAATAATAAGAGATCAAAATTAGAAGTTTAACTCTTTTCCCATTTGCCCCACGAATACTCACCAGCAGCGCTTGCAGCTGCAGTGTTTACTCTGAGCTAACTTTGCCATGAAATATCTTGCTTTTATTATTATTTTTACATTGCTCCAGTATATAGGCTTTAGAAACAAAAGACATCATTCTATTTATAGCATTCTGTTTTTAATAGTGGTATTTCCATTTAAAAATATAGTAATTCTCAATTGCTGAAAATGTCAAATCCTAGAAAATGTAGCATTGCCATGCAGATGTTAACATTGTTCTTGAACAGTTGTTGGCCAAAGATTAATCTGATGAATCTGATTTTTCCAGAATTGATTATTCTGGTGATTCAAATAATTCTGATGTTAGTTCTGTTAATAAATAACTCTAAAAACAGTTTTTATATTTTATTTTCACATTGAAAATCAGTCAGATTTGCTTCAGCCTCAAAAAGCATGTTTATGCAAAATTCAATGAGTGCTGACAGTGAGCTGCACTTTTTTTTCTAAACAGAAAAGGGATTAATGGAAAGTTTAAAATTATATTTAGAAAAAACACAAATTCTTCAGCTAAAAAACACAGTGCACAAAATGAAAAGTGCAATGGACAGTAATACCAACAGAATGATCAACTGGAAGAAAGGATCTGTGAACTCAAAGACAGGTTATTTGAAAATATATAGTCAGAAAAGAAAAAAGAAGGAAATGGAAAGAAGAAGAAAACTTACAGGATTTATGGGACGGCATCAGGAGTTTAAGAAGGAAGAAGAAAGAGACAAGTAAAAAAGCATATATACACACACATACATATACTTTAAGTTCTGGGATCCATGTGCAGAACATACAGGTTTGTTACATAGGTATACACGTGCCATGGTGGTTTGCTGCACCCATCAACCTGTCATCTACATTAAGTATTTCTCCTAATGCTATTCGTTCCCCTAGCCCCCCACCCCACGACAGGCCCCAGTGTGTGATGTTTCCCTCCCTGTGTCCATGTGTTCTTATTGTTCAGCTCCCAATTATGAGTGAGAACATGTGGTGTTTGGTTTTCTGTTCCTGTGTTAGTTTGCTGAGAATGATGGTTTCCAGCTTCTTTAAAGAAATAGTAGCAGAAAACATTTCAAATCTGGAGAAAGATATCCAGATACAGAAAGGTCAACAGTCTTCAATCAGATTCAATCCAAATAAGACTATATCATGACATATTATAATCAAACTGTCAAAAATCAAAGACAAAAACAATCCTAAAACTAGTAAAAGAACCAAATCACATATAAAGGAGTTCCAATAAAGCTAACAGAAGTTTTCTCAACAGAAGTCTTACAGACGAGGAGAGAGCTGGGTGATATTAAAATTGTAGAAGTAATAAAAAAAAACTGCTAACAAGGAATATTGAACCCAGCAAACATTCCCTTCAACAATGAAGGAGAGATAAAGACTTTACCAGACAAACAAAAGCTAAGGGAGTCCATCATCACCAGACCTGTCTTACAAGAAATGCTAAAGGGAGTTCTTCAAGCTCAAAGAAAAGGATGCTAATTAGTAACATGAAAACATCTGAAATATAAAACTCATTGGTAAAATGAAGTACAAAGTCAAATTCAGAATACTCAAATACTATAATGGTAGTGTGTAAATCACTTATATCTTCAGTATGAAGGTTAAAAGTCAAAACTATTTAAAAATAATAAAAGCTATAATAATTTATGAAGGAATACATGATATAAAAAGATGCAAACGGTGCATTAAAAAATAAAATAAAATGTAGGCAGGGAGTTGGCTGTAAATGTGTAGAGTTTTTCTTATGAGATCAAAGTTAAGTTGTTATCAGGTTAAAATAGCCTGTTTTAACTACAAAATGTTTTACGTAAGCCTTGTGGTAACTACAAAGAAAAAAATCTACAATAGATACATAAAAGATAAAAGGAAAGGAATCAAAGCATACCACCAGAGGAAATCACCTAAGCACAAAGGAAGACAACAAGAGAGGAAGAAAGGAATAAATATGTCCAAAACTTCCATAAAACAATTAACATAATACCTGTAGTAAGTTCTTACCTATCAATAGTTACCCTGAAAGCAAATGGATTAAATCCTGCTATCAAAAGACATAAAGTGGTTGAATGTATTTAAAAAATAAAAAGCAAGACCCAGATACATGCCACCTATAAGAGACTCACTTCACTTTTAACAACACATGAAGACAGAAAGTGAAGGAATAAAAAAAAATTCCATGGAAATGGAAAACAAAATAGAACAGGATAGCTATACTTACATCAAATAAAGTAGACTTTAAGTCAAAAACTGTAAAATCAGACAAAGTACATTATATAAAGAGATAAATTTATCAAGAAGATATAACAATTGTAAATATAAATGCACTTTACATCAGTGCACCTAAATATATAAAGCAAATATTAATATATCTAAAAGAAGAGATAGACTGCAATACAATACAATAGCACTAGGGAACTTTAATACCCTACTTTCAGCAATGAACAGATCATCCAGACGGAAAATCAATAAGGAAACATTTAATTTAAACTACACTTTACATCAAATGGACCTAACAGACATATAAAGAACATTTCATCCAACAGCAGCAGCATACTCATTCTTCTCAAGTGCACATGGAACACACTCCAGGATACATCACCTGTTAGACCATTAAAAAAGTTTTAACAATGTGTCTTTATAGCAGCATGATTTATAGTCATTTGGGTATATACCCAGTAATGGGATGGCTGGGTCAAATGGTATTTCTAGTTCTAGATCCCTGAGGAATCGCCACACTGACTTCCACAATGGTTGAACTAGTTTACAGTCCCACCAACAGTGTAAAAGTGTTCCTATTTCTCCACATCCTCTCCAGCACCTGTTGTTTCCTGACTTTTTAATGATTGCCATTCTAACTGGTGTGAGATGATATCTCATAGTGGTTTTGATTTGCATTTCTCTGATGGCCAGTGATGATGAGCATTTTTTCATGTGTTTTTTGGCTGCATAAATGTCTTCTTTTGAGAAGTGTCTGTTCATGTCCTTCGCCCACTTTTTGATGGGGTTGTTTGTTTTTTTCTTGTAAATTTGTTTGAGTTCATTGTAGATTCTGGATATTAGCCCTTTGTCCGATGAGTAGGTTGCAAAAATTTTCTCCCATGTTGTAGGTTGCCTGTTCACTCTGATCATGCTGCTCTAAAGACACATGCACACGTATGTTTATTGTGGCATTATTCACAATAGCAAAGACTTGGAACCAACCCAAATGTCCAACAATGATAGACTGGATTAAGAAAATGTGGCACATATACACCATGGAATACTATGCAGCCATAAAAAATGATGAGTTCATGTCCTTTGTAGGGACATGGATGAAATTGGAAACCATCATTCTCAGTAAACTATCGCAAGAACAAAAAACCAAACACCGCATATTCTCACTCATAGGTGGGAATTGAACAATGAGATCACATGTACACAAGAAGGGGAATATCACACTCTGGGGACTGTGGTGGGGTCGGGGGAGGGGGGAGGGATAGCATTGGGAGATATACCTAATGATAGATGACACGTTAGTGGGTGCAGCGCACCAGCATGGCACATGTATACATATGTAACTAACCTGCACAATGTGCACATGTACCCTAAAACTTTAAGTATAATAAAAAAAAAAATTAAAAAAAAAAAGTTTTAACAAATTTAAAAATAATGAAATCATATCAAGTACCTTTTCTAACCACAATGGTATTGCTATGGTTTAAGTGTATACGTCTTTCCGAGATTCAAATGTTGGAACCTAATGCATAATGTGATATTATCAAGAGGTGGGGCCTTTTGGAAAGTCATGAGTGATCCACTTTCATGAATAAGATTAATGGTCTCATGAAAGAGACTGAAGGAAGCACCCTAGAGTCTCTTGCCCTTCTGCCATGTGAGGATACAGCATTCATCACTTCCACTATGTGAAGACACAAAGAAGGTGTAATCTATGAGGAATGGCCCTCACCAGACACCAAATCTGCTGGCACCTTGATCTTGGACTTCTTAGCCTCCAGAATTGTGAGAAATAAAAAAATTACCCAATCTAAGATATTTTGTTGTAGTAGCCAGACAAGATTAAAGTAGATATGAAACTAGAAATCAGTAACAGGAGAATTCCACAAAATTTGCAAATACATAAAAATTAACATGCTCATGAACAACTAATTGGTCAAAAAAGAAATTAAAAGGGAAATTAGAAGGAAAGGGGAAATTAGGGAAATTAGAAGACATCTTGAAACACATGAGAATGGACACAACATACCAAAACATAAAGGATGCAGCAAAAGCAGTTTTCAGAGGTAAGTTTATAGCAACAAATGCCTACATTTAAAAAGAAGAAAATCTCAAACAAATAACCTAAAGTTACAAATAAATGAACTACAAAAAGAAAAACAAAATAAGACCAAAGTAAGACCAAAGGAATGAAATAATAAAGATCAGAGCAGAAATAAATGAGAGAGACTAAAATTAATAGAAAAAATAAATGAAACAGAGAGTTGTTTTCTAATGAAGATAAACAAAATTGACATGCCTTTAGCTAAGAAATTTAAGAAAAAAGAGAGAAGACTCAAATAAATAAAATCAGAAATGAAAGAAGAGACATTATTACTGATACCACAGAAATACAAAACATCATGAGACTACTATAAACAATTATATGCCAACAAATTAGATAAACTTAGAAGTTTAAGTGTATATGTCTAGGAATGTATTCATTCCTAGACACATACAACTTACCAAGACAAAATCATGAAAAAATGAAAAATCTGAACAGACAAATAACTTGTAAGCAAATTGAATCAATAATAAAAAGTCCTTCATCAAAGAAAAGTCCAAGGCCTGATGGCTTCACTGCTAAACTCTATTTAAATAACCAATACCAATCCTTCTCAAACTCTTCCAAAAAAATGAAGAAGAGGGAATAAATTCCAAATTTATCTTATAAGGCCAGCATTACTATGACACCAAAGCCAAATAAGGATACTACAAGAAAATTACAGGCCAATATTGCTGACGAACAGAGATGAAATAATCCTCAACGAAATACTAGCAAACCAAACTCAACAGCACATTAAAAGTATCATTCACCATGATCAAGTAGGATTTATCCCAAGGAGGCAAGAATGGCTCAACATACACAAATCTATAAATGTGATACATCAAATTAACAGAATAAAGGACAAAATCCACATGATCATTTCAACATATGCAGGAAAACATTTGACAAAATTCAACATCATTTCATGATAAAAACTCTCAATAAATGTATAGAAGAAATGTATCTCAACACAATAAAGTTCAGATATAACAAATCTACAGCTAACATTATACTCAACAGTAAAAAGTTGAAAGTTTTTCCTCTAAAATAAGGAAAAAGACAAGGATGCCCAATCTTGCCACTTCTATTCAACATAGTACTGTAAGTCCTAGACTTGCAATTAGGCAAGAGAAAGAAATAAAAGGCATCAAAATTGGGAAGGAAGAGGTTAACTTATCCCTGCTTGCATTTGACATCATCTTATATCTAGAAAATCCTGAAGATGCCACCAAAAAATTGTCAGAACTAATAAATGATTTCAGTAGAGTTTCAGGATATCAAATCAATATACAAACAAAAAGTAGTGTCTCTATGTTAACAATAAACTGGTGAGGTGCAGTGGCTCACACCTGTAATCCCAGCACTTTGTGAGCCCGAGGCGGTCCAATCACTTGAGGTGAGGAGTTCAAGACTGGCCTGGCCAACATGGTGAAACCCTGTCTCTACTAAAAATACAAAAATTAGCCGGGTGTAGTGACGGGTGCCTGTAATCTCAGCTACTTGGGAGGCTGATGCAGGAGAATAATTTGAACCTAGGAGGCAGAGGTTGCAGTGAGCCTAGATCTCACCACTGCTCTCCAGCCTAGGTGAAACAGTGAGGCTCCATCTCAAAAAAAAAAAAAAAAAAAAAAAATGAACTACCTGAAAAAGAAATCATGAAAACAATCTCATTTACAATGGCTATGAAAAAGATAAAATACTTACATATAAATTTAATCAAGAAGGTGAAAGAGCTGTATACTGAAACTATAAAACACTGATGAAAGAAATGAAGAAGACACAAATAAATGAAAAGATATGCTTTGGTCATGGATTCAAAGAATTAATATTGTTAAAATTTCCACACTATCCAAAATGATCTACAGATTTACTGCGACCCTTATTAAAATTCCAATGACATTTTTCTGTATTCATTCATCCATTGGTGACCATTAATTAGGTTGATCTCACATCTTGACAATTATGAATAATGCTGCAAAGAACATACGAATGCAAATGAACACATAAAGAAAATGTGGTATATGTACACAATGGAATACTATTCCACCTCAAAGAAGAAAATCCTGTTATTTGAGACAACGTGGATCAACCTGGAAGACATTATGTAAAGTGAAATAAGCCCTTCACAGAAAGACAAATACCACATGATCTCACTTATATGTGGGACCTTAAAAAGTTGAACTTATAGGAGCAGAAAGTAGAATGCTGGTTACTAGGGCCTGGGGATGGGGGATAGTTGTTGGGGAGATGTTGGTCAAAGGACCAAAATTCAATTAGATGGCACAATATGTTCAAGAGATCTATGGTACAACATAATGACTATAGTAATAATACATTGTACTCTTCAAAATTTCAAATAGATTTTAAGTGTTCTCACCAAAAAAAATTATAAGTACATGAGGTAATGAATATGTTAATTAGCTCAATTTAGCCATTCCACAATGTATATTTCAAAATATTGTGTTGTACACAATAAATGTATACAATTTTGTCAATTTAAAAATAATTAAATTTTAAGTAACAAAACATAAAACAAAAACAAAAGTCTCAAATCTCATCATCCAAATCATCTAAAACAGGTATGAGAAAGGCGCTGCATATAATCCATTCTGAGGCACACCTTGAAACATAGTATCTGCTCTCAAAAACACAATGGTAAGGCAGATAAAGATGATAGTTCTAAATATTCTCATTCAAAAAGGGAGAAAATGGAAGAAAGAAAAAAAAACAATTGCCATATCCAAGCAACTTTAAAATCCAGCCAGGCAAACACCACTTGGTTTCAAGGTCTAGAAATAAGCTTCTGTAATTATTGGTTCCACCCTCTGGAGTCAGCTCCATGCTCTGGGCTCTGAGTTCTGCCCTTTGAATTAACCTTCTTTTTTCATGAAAGGTAGCTTCATAGAAAGATGTTGACAGCCAAGTCAGCCTGTTTTTTGCTTGTAGAATTTTGGGGATCCAACACCTTCTTTCATTTTATTCTCTCACTGATTCTTTCAGGCCACACCAGCAGCAATTTTACTGCCATAATATTCTTAAGAACCTTGTAGATCTCCCATGTATGTCATGGGGATTCACTCCATTAAACAAAAAAGGCTCCTCCATAGATATTTCTTGGATAATTCCATCTCTATTTGTGACCTCTGCTGAAATGGTTGAGGGGATCTATGAGTCATATGTTCTTCAAAGAGCCCTCAATGTAACTGAATACTCTGACCTTTTGATATTTCTGAGGCACTAGCAAAATATTTTCTAGTCACATCCTTGGCTTTCTTTTCAGACTAGGTATTCCTAACAGTGAATATCCTATTTTAACATGTTTTGGAATCTGAATAGGTTGATAATTTCTCAAATATCAAGTTATGAATATGTTTTGCTCAACAATTATTCCCTAAATCTCTCTCTCTCCTCTCACGTTACTACAAACAGCAAGAAAAAGCCAGAGTGCACCTTCAACACTTTTGTTGCTTACAAATCACCTTAGCTAAAATCTAAGTTCATTGTTTACAAGTTTTGCTTTCCACATAACCACAGGGTACAATTCAGCTAAGTTTTCTGCCACTGTGTAAGAAGGGTCCCCTTTCCTTCAGTTTATAATAAAAATTCTTTATATCCATCTGAGCCCTCAATGGCAGTTCCTTCAATGTCTATACCTAACCAATGCTCGCTTATGATAATTTAGGAATATTCAGAGGTGATTTAGATTTTCTCTCTACCATGCTCTTCACTTTCTTCTAAGTCCTCAATAATAGAGTCACCAATAACCATATTTCTACTGAAAGTCTATTTAAGGCAATCTAGGCTTTTTCTATCATGCTCCTAAAAATTCATCCAGCATCTGCCCATTGCCCAGTTCCAAAGCCACTTCCATATTTTTTAGGTATTTCTTACACCAGCACCACACTTCCATGCAGGAAAATTTGTATTCGTTTCCTATTGCTGCTCAAACAAATCACCACAAACTTAGTGACTTAAATCAACACAAATCTATTATCTCACAGTTCTGGAGATCAGAAGTCCAAAATGAGTCTCATTGGTCTAAAATCAAGGTATCAGTAGCACTACATTCCTTCTGGAGGCTGTAAGAGAAAACTCATTTTCTTGCCTTTTTCAGCATCTAAAAACTGCCTGCAGTCCTTGGCTTGTGGCCCACTATCACCTTTAAAGCCACCAGTGGCCAGACTAGTTTTTCTCATATCACATCACTCTACACTGACTATTCTGCTTCCTTCTCCCCATTTCAAAAGATTCTTCTGATTACACAGGGCTCACCCAGATAACCTATGATAGCCTCCTAATCTTAAAGTCAGCTGATGAGCAAACTTAACTTCCCCTTGCTGTATAACGTAACCTATTGTTTGGTTCCAAGAATTAAGACATGAACATCTATGCAGGACCATTATTCTGCCCACCATAATATATATTTCCATAATGATAAATTTTCAATTCTGCTCTATTAGTATAGCCTACCATGTAACCTGGTTCCTGCTTTCCTCATATACTTTATTTCATATCACATGCCCTATGTTTCTACTTCTCTAGACTTCCTCCACGTTCTCAAATGCACATTCATCCCATGCTCAGAACCTTGCTCACACACTAGTCCCTTTGCCTATCCCCATAGCTTCTCTTCTTTGGACTACTCTTACATATCCTTCAACTATCAGCTTAAATGACTATTCTTCAAAGATGGTTTCCCTGAGCCTGAGACTCCCCTAACTAAAATATAGATTCCCATTATATCTTCAGTTTTTCTTCATATAATTTATCTTAATGGTGATTAGGTCTGTAACTATGTAATTGTTCAACGGCTATTTTTAAGACACTATGAAATCAAAGTTAAGTTCTAACGTCTTCATTTGTTATGTGCCTAACACCTAGCAGTATGCTAGTTTCCCAAAAATAACTTATTTGAAAGAATGAAAGTAACTCGCTTAATTGTCATAACAATGATCATTTTATAATTGAGGGTACTGGAGCTTAGAGAAATTAAGTAACTTCACCACAGTAAAACAACTAATGAAATTCCACCTCAGTCTATCTTGTTTCTAAGTGCATCTCTTAAACACTGTGTTATTCCACACTATTTGGGCACCAACAGCCATCACTTCAAAGTCCACAGATGCTCACCAACCATCATACTGAAGACAAATTAGTGCCACCTCGATTTCCTCAATGCAGTTACCTTTGCCTACTAAAGTCCATGGTCTATTACCAAATGCCTATTTCACTCTGCGTAACACTGGCATAAGAGGAGACGTACGACCTTTTTTTCCCTTTAAAACCTTAAAGTTTTTTACAAATAACTACTAAGCTTATTTTCAACTTAACAACTTGTAAAAAAAACATGCTTTGATTTTATCCACTTCTCTTCTATGGATTAATGAGATTATAAAATCTGTTAACACTTCAGAAGAAATTGTATTAAACCAACAGAGGAAATTATCTACTTTGGGAACCTGGCCAGATTAATTGTTAAAATCAAAGATCTAAAAATCATGCTAACATTGCTAGAAAGTCCTAGAATGGTGCTTCTGTATACTCTCATTCCTGATCCCTCATGTACAGAGAGGAAAAAAACATTATTATGATCATTATCTTGGGGAATACTTCCTAGATTTTAGAAAGTAGAACCCTTTATAACCTTTCATAGGTCTTTTTATTGTCTACATTCACTCCTCTAATTTTTAAAAGCATAATAAGTGTATTTTTGTGGCTGCAAGTCAGATTATAGCTAGAAATGACTAGAAAATTGCCTGGATTCCTTTTTTGAAAATTATGGTAATTGGCAAAGATCAAAAGCCATATTTATTAAGGTGTAATCTAATTTAGCATCTTATTACTTGAATTTCCAAAACAACTATAAATCAAATTTCAACAACAACAAAACCATTTTAGTGATACTATAGTTGCTATTATTATTTTTAAAACATATGACTTTAAAATATATTTCCATTTGTTTTTATTAGGTATAGATAATAATAAATTTACGAGTTTCAAAAGGTATTGAATTGCATGCATCTCAAAATCCACTAAGGAGAAAAACTGGCACAAGGAAAAGCAATATTAAATGAGCAAAAATCACTGGGAAAGTATATGTTGAGATTTCTTTATTTTAAAGCTAAAAGACAGAAGAAGATGGTTACATTACTGCAGGAAAAATTTGATGGTCCAAAAATCTCTTCCATCTATTTAGAACATATCTGATAGCACAAAGAAACTTATATGATAGGTTCATATGAAACCTGAGAGCATCTCACGGATTTTGTAATTTGTTACTATTCCTGCTATGACTATGTATAGTGTATATGTATATACCGTACAAAATATCTGCAGCACCCTCAACTCACTGTAAATAGAATCTATAAAATCTTCAGTCTGTATATTTTTTTCTCTCTAAAGCCAAAGGAAATCTCAATGAAGCAGCAAGACTCGGAACTGACTTCTTAACAAGTTTCCAAATGCTATTAGCAAAGACCTTGCCAAGGTAATGCGAAATTCCATGCATGGCCAAAGGGCCACCTTTTGTCAATTTCATAATCCGAATCTTAGAATAAAAGAAATCACAAGAGCATAATCAATACATCAGTAATATATGCCTACTGAGAACATGGCATGCAGGAAATACTTGCTGATTGATTGGTTATATTAAATAAAGTCCATAATTTGGCAGAAAATGAAATTTTACACCTTCAAATCTCATAAACCATATTTGTTAGGCATTTACTCTGTCTAAATATTGAGCTCGGCATCAACAAGGAAGGAAAAACAACCAATTCATCAATGTACATGGATATCTAGTTACTATGGACAATTCAAACAAAACATTTTATATGCCTTATGTATTTTGAACACCTACCTTGAAGAATTTGACAATTTAAATAAAAATGAATAACTAAACATTTTTAATTAACCAGGAAAAGTTATCGATTCCTGAGACTATTTCCTAAAAATGGTTTAATTTTCTAGCATCAGAATATAAAATGCACAGTCCTGAAGGTTTCTATTTGTGACAGATCAGACACTCTTCAGAGGAAACTAGGTAGAATACTAATAAAATTTAAAGGAGCTTTGTAAATTTTAAGAGCACTACAATACCATTTGTTTATTAGGAGCTTTAGATTCCATAAAGCTTTCCAGTTACTCGAATTGGCAGTCCTGAAATAACTTTGTTTCCAGTTCATAGGGATTAAAAATCAGAGATAAAAACAACACAATACAAAACAACAACAACAAAAAAAAAAAAACAGAAGGTTAACCCTACTGACACTTCTATTCAACTGTGTGAAATTCTGCTGACAATGTAGCCTTATCTTCTTTATTATATTTGGTCATTGTTTTTAAAGGATTCAATATCCAAGCCCCACCCTCTTATAAAAGACCCTTAAGTGAATAAAACATTACCATAAATATTTGTTACAATAAAAAATTAACTTAAACATAAAATTTAAACAATAATTTTTAAGCCAGAAAATTGCATTTTAATTTTTTATAAGAGCAAACTTGTTTTAAGTAAATGTAACACATGTGAATTTCCTCCTTTCCCAACTCTAAGCTTTGGTTTTAGTGTCCATGGTGACACATACTGGCTATATCAGGCAACAACACCACTACAGAAACACTCAAGTTTTATTTTATTTCTATTTCTTGGTAGCATATTTTCCGAAGTGGTTTCCTTTTGCATATCCAACTCTTTAGTAATTATGAATTGCACTTTCAAAGCCATGGCACCAAAATAACAACAACAACAACAAAAATCTGGGTGAGGTAGGGCAAGAAGCTTTAGTCCATTAGATATGTTAAACCAAACTCCATTCTCTTTTGCCTTCATGTATTCTTCACCATACATGAATCTAGTCTGTCTGTACACGTTTAGCTACCTTTTAGAAGCTCTTATTACGGCAACTTTCCACAAACAAGCAATCCTCAAAAGCTCTAATCAAAGTTGAAGGTTTGCTGCATTGGAATTTGCTTCTGACTGCACAACACATTTAAATATAATTTGAGATGTAGACATTTGTGCCCAGCCAATATCCATTGACTTCAAAAAAAAGTTGTAAAATCGTAAGTACACAATTAATGATAATATGAGATACACTTCTAGATTAACATTTACTTGAAATCTTTCCAAAATACTTTTGAGACCATTATTCCCTTTCTCTTGTTATTGGTGGATGAAGGAAGAATGAGGGTCTTTCAAAGATAAATTTTGCCTCAAATATACTGCGACTGTGATATGCAGTAAGTAAAAATATTCAGAGGCATTAATTTTTCCAGAAAGCTACCCCCATAAAACAATTCCTCCAAGCAGGGCACCATCGTACCTGAAACTTTCAGAGATCAGTGTCTTAACTAAGATTAAGCTATCCTTTTTCCTACCTAAATCAATTTCACCCAAACGAGGCGTTTGTGTTATAATTCATTGTTCCCCAGATTCTAAAATCAACCATCTGCCATAGGAGTTTCTGCTCAGTAATTAAGGGACTATCCATTAGAACTGGCAAGAGTACAAAGTACGAAGGAGAAGGGTGAGGCAGGGGAGAAAAAACCACTTAAAAGAGATAGGGATATGTGTCTCACACTGGCCCTTCTACACCTCAGCTAAAGTACTGTCATCCATGAGGCAATACAAAGTTAGGACAAGCGGCAAGAGCAACTCCTGCCGGGGTTATCGGAACTGAAATCACAGTGGGGATGCAGCACGCCGGGCATACCTTGAAAGAGAAAGGCTTTCGTCCCATTATGCAGCCCCGGGACCTGACGCACTCCGGTCGTGGACTCCCCAAGTTCTAACTCTGTTAAGACGTCAATCTGTAGGGAAGGGTCCACACCAAGCCCCCAAACTGGTGAGGGGTATGAGGTGGGAGAGAGAAAAAGGAAAAGCTCCATCAAAATGCAAGTCTCTTCCTCCAGGGCAGCAAAGAACCGCGTTTTCGCGACAATATTGGGAACTGAAGATGAGAGGCGACTGCCTCCTCCTCCGCCGAGAGCCTTACCTGAGATCAGCAGCCAAGCTTTAAATAGCGGAGCACCCAGTCCCGTTTCCATGACCTCCTTTAAACCCTTCTCTCTGCAAAGTTCCCCCTCAGCCCTCCGACCCTGGACTAGGGGCGTGATCCGCCTCGCGGTCTCCAAGGCAAGCACAGAAAAAAAAAAAATCCATATCCAAACCCGCCCCCTTACTCCAAGCTTCCCACTCCAGACCTACTTTGGGTCCGGGAAAAGCGAGGCTTCCCCAGCCAGCCCATGCTGCCCCGAGGCGGGAGCCATCCCTTTCCCCAGCCCCAGCTCTGCGGCCACTCACCTGCTCCGAGACCGAAGATCAAACAGAATGTTCTCAGTAAGACCCGAGACTCCATGGTGCGGATCAGCTCAGTCCATCGTCTCCCTCTTTAAAAATAAAAATAAAAATCGAAGAGGTTCTTGGAATCAAGCGGGAAAATAACGTTTGTCTCTCCTGCTGCTGCCTCGGATTTACTGATCAGTAGGATTAATACGCTTTGGTTGCCTAAGAAAGAAAAGGGAGGCCTCCCCAGGCGCGTGAAGAACTTAGACCCTCCAATGCGCACATCATTCCCACACGCAGGGCCGAGGCGGCAGCGCGGCCCGGAGGGGGCCCGGAGGGAGGGGTCGGACTCGCCCCGGCGCGGCTCCGTCGGGGAATTAGCTCCCGAGCCGAATAAAAGCAGCCAAAGACTCGCACACCCGGTAGAAGGGGGGCGGCCCCAAGAAAGCCCGGGCTGGGGCGGCCCCGCACCCCCCCGTCTTCCCCGCCGCCCGAACCTGTTGTAAAGGCAGAGACAATGGAGAAAGCTCCGGGAGACGCGCGGAGAGACTGCTCCTCCGGGGAGGGAGGGGCGGGCCGGGGGAGGCGGGGTAAGGAGGAGGGAGGGGCCGCCGAGGGCGAGGCCGGCGCTCAGCGTCGGTCTCCCGCACGGTCTCCTGGATGCCAAACCCGGTCTAGGGAGCCCAGGAGCCGTTGCAGCCTCAGCTCTTCTCCCTCCCTCTCTCGATGACCCGGGCAATGCCAACCTCCTTTCGGGATTGAAAGCTCTAAATCCAAGGTGCTAAGTTGATGGGCGGTCTTTGCTCTCACCCCTCGATTTCGGGCGCGTGTCTTGAAAGACAGGAGAGAAAAAAGACCACCCAGCTGCAGGAGGCAAGGCTGGAGCGAGTAGCGCTCGCCTGCCCTTTAAGCAAAGGAGGGAAGCCCATGTGCACTCGTGCACTGGGCTCCGGAGCAGCCCCGGGGTGCAGGGCACTCCCCCTCCAGGGCGTGCGGAGGAAGGCCACCAAAACACGCTGCACTGCCGAGGTGGAGCTGGGCAAAGTAGGTAGAGACTGGTGGGGACGGATGGCGAGCCTGGGAAGCCCCGGGTGTCCTGGTGGAGAGGTTCCCTGCCGGGGGCGGGGCGCTGGAGAGCTTCCCCGGCGCGGAGAGCTTCCCGGGCGCGGAGAGCGCAGAGAACTTGGCCAGGAGGTGCTGGACAGCTCCGGAACCCGCGCGCCCCCTGCCAAATAAAGCGTGGAGACCCGGACTCGGGCTCTCTGGGACCAGCATACAGCAGAAGGCAAGGGGAACTGAGCCAGGGCGTCTGTTCACGCCGAAATATCTACCTACATAGAGGAGATGGTTAGAGAGAGAGAGAGAGAGAGAAATAAATAAATACGTAAATAAGCAGAGGGAGGAGATGGAGCCCAGGCGAGAGAGAAGAGCCATCCCACTGTTGACCACACTCATGCAGGCTCTACCTGCCCTTCACCACATATGTCCGGGACCATAAAAGTGGTGTCCTTTGAGATCCATTTTTCAGCAGGCACATGTATGTTCAAGATCAATGGTACATAATATTTTTTGAACATAGCCCTAAAATTTTTAGGTAAATTTTGAGGAATGGCATTCCACTTTCATTTTGGAAAAGTTAAGAGTTTAAAAAACCATTATGGTATTAATCTGTACAAAGATCAATTGGGTTTCTTAACCTTCCATGCAAACATGTGGGTACTGAATTCTCCAACTGGATACTAACAGCTACAGTTACCAAAATGCCTACTGGGTAGTCTGAGCCCCCTGCAAGGCAGGAGTATAATATACATTTTATCTATAGATATATAGTTATAGATATTATCATATAGTGGAATACATATACTATATTATACTATAGGGAAAGAGGTATTTTTAGATCTGCCCTTAGAATTTTTAAGACAAAAGATTCAGAATTCGGGAGCTCTTTTAAATTAATTTTTAATTCTCTCTTATCGAATTTCCCATTTAATTCTATTTGTAACTTTGTAAAGTTTGAGAAATATTTCAGTACTTACAAGTGATAAAGGATTGTCATATGCAATTTCCCAAATTTGAAAAACTATGCCAAATAAATAATACAATTTAATTAATCAATGAAAAGAAATTAATCATCAGAGAATTAAAGACCTTTCTACAGCTGTGCATCTAAAATATTCAATTGTAATAAGTATCTACAGAAGCTACACGAAATAAATTTTAAATAACGTAGCATTTAAAATGCTATCATTAGAGAAAAGAATAAAACATAAATATACATATGCACATATATATTTCCACATAAAAGTCCTCCTAACCAACCTGTGTTCAACCAACTCATGAAAGTAGGGATACTCTCGAGTTTCTCTGACTCTCATCCATATGCTGAAAGCTGGTGGTTAATGGGCTTATCTCCAGTACCATACACACTGAGGCTCCCTCCAGAACAGTGGTATTTGGTACCCAAAATAATTCTAGTTGAACCTGCTACTGTAATTATTTGACCTAATTAAATAGTATGGAAATCATTAAAATATGAGTATGGGGAGGTGTGAAGAGTTGTTTCTCTAAAACTAAGGTATAAGGTTTGGAAACCCATAGTAAAGGTGAGCCATTGTATTAGCTAGGGCAGAGTTTCTCAACCTGGGCAGGAGTTTTCAACATTATAACTACTAACATTTTGGGGCTGGATAATTCTTTATTGGGGCTGTCCTGTGCCTTGTAGGATGTTAGTTGAATTCTTGGTCTCTATCCACTGAATGCCAGTATTTTCAGTATTCCATTTTATCTATGTGTTCTTTTGACTATATCTCTTTGTGAAGCTTTTAAAATTGGTATTCTAGGGAATACAATATACATACTTAACTTTTCACCTTCTACCTAGAGTCCATACATTACCACTTCAGTTCGAATACAGAAGCTTTACTACCACATCAAATCCCTTTATCCTCAACTCTTTAGGTTGTAGTTGTCTTATGTATTATATCTACATACACTCAAACTCCTTTTAGACAATGTTAAAATTTTGCTTGCAATCATTGTTGTAGGCATAATAATATTCCAATCCCCTTCCCCTTAAGAAACAGTCTTTTCCAGTTCCTAATCAGTGGAACCTGTGTATGTTACCTCACATGGCAAAGGGGATTTAAGGTTGCAGATGGAATTAAGATTGTTAATCAGGTAACCTTAAAATAGGAAGATTATTTCAGATTATCTGGGTATGCCCAATATAATCACGAGGGCCCTTAAATGTGGAAGAAGGAGGCATAAGAGGAGGTCAGATTAATGCAATATGAGAAGAACTCGACTTCCTGTTGCTGACTATGAAGATGGGAAAATATAGAAGGGCTATGAGACAAGGAATATGGGAGGCATCTAGAAATTGGAAATGGCAAGGAAAAAGATTATCCCTTAGAGCCTCCAGAAAAGAATACAACCCTGCTGATAACTTGACTCTTGCCCAAAAAAGTCAAGACTGTTTTAGACTTCTGAACAACCATCCGTAAGATAATAAATTTGTGTTGTTTTAATCCACTAAATTTGTGGTAGTTGGTTACAGCATCCACGGAAAACTAATATAAGTACTGACTACATGAGGAAAAGTTCAGTAAACATGGTTGACTCTAACGACCCTTAGATCCCTTCCTACCATATACACATATCAAAGCTAAGTAAAATGCCCAATTTTTAAATTCACAGATGAGCTTTAAATTAAGAAAAGAAAATCCCCAGGTGCTAGAAAAAAGACATAGCAGAAGATGGACAGAGAAAGCAATAGGTGGTGCAAGAATTTGGAGAGGGTGGAACACAGGGATTCAGACTCTATCGGGACCCTAAGAAAATAGAGTGGGATTTTAACATCCACACCAGAACTGAAAACAACAAATTTTGGAAGCCAGAAAAGATGATGATATTACTGATTCTTCTGATAAGAGTAGTAAGCTTTGAAGAATTATATCTCCTACAAAAAGAAACTTTTGAAACTTTAAAACTTTGCATGTTGGCCGAAGCTTGCCAGCTGCACGTGCCCTTGTGGAAAACCAATGCACCTATACTAAATGTCAAATCTCAAGCTTTGCCACTTGCAGGTACAAGGTCCGAGATCACACTCCTCACTGATATGGAAATTCTAAAATCAAAAAGTAGCATTAAACTCCCAGGGTCTTCTGAAGAAGCAAATATAAGACTTCTTTTAAGTGACTTTCTATGACTTCTGGTACACAAGAAGAAAATTCCTGCTGTGCAATAATAATAATAATAATTGTCATTGTTATTACTATTACACTGAGATAAAAGACTATGAAAAATAGTCAAGAAACATACACACACACACACACACACACACACAGAGAGAGAGAGAGAGAAAAACAGAGAATTAGTATCTCATGACCTCAGGATATCAAAAAATAAAGTGACAGAAAACATAAAATAAGAATGTTTAAGTGATTGGAGATATTTTTAAAGGGATATAAAAGAAATGAAATGACAGAATTGTATGAGAAAAGAGTAGACATATCTCAAAAGAAACCAAATAGAACTTCTAGCAATAAAAGTATGTTTAAAAACAATATTAAAAACCATTAGCTCTAATAAGCAGCAATAAAACAGTGCTAAAAATTAGTGACCAAAAACATTGAAAACAAAAAGTCAGATGTGAGAATATTACTGAGAATGTGCCAAGACCGATAAAAAGAATGGAAAACATAAACAAAACATGAATGTTACAGTTAAAATAACCAACACACAACTAGTTAGAGATGTGGAATAACAGACTAGAAAGAATAGAAGTATATAGTATTATACATAACATTTAAACAAATAACATTTAAAAGTTTTCAAAAATTAAAGAATATCATGAGGCTCTAACTCTGGGTAAAATGGATTAAGTACACTTTACCATTTCTCCCACTGAATGCCATCAAAATTCAACAGAATGTATAAAGTATTTGAGGACTCTGAAAATTACATGGTATCAAGCAAACTAGGAAAGAAAACCAGAGTTTGAAGTACTACCATACTGGCAGTGAGTTCTTTGTTTTGTTCTTGTTGTTGTTGTTGTTGTTGTTGTTGTTGTTTTTGGCTAGTCAACTGAAGCAGTAGGAGTGGAAAATGAACAAATAAATCTGTAATTGGTTGTGACCAATTAGTTGTAAGCACCACTGCACTCAGACCAGCCAGGCAATGATTACCAGCCAGGTAGTGGTCTAAGAAATAGACCATTACCCAGGTCACAGGCTGGCCTCTGTGTTGCACAGTTGCATACTACAAAGTCTTAAAACCACACAAAAGGAAGACAAGTCAAAATCTTCTGTCTAAATTCTAAAGAGTCAATCGCCTGCTTAAATTTCTAAAAATCCAACATTCACCACAGTACTTAACAAAATTCAGAGTTTTATAACTTAATATTAAAATATTTAGGTTATAATAAAAAATTATTTGGCATATGGAGAACTAGAAAAACTTCAACTTAAATAAGAAAAATATAATCAACAGATACCAATGCCAAGATGACACAGATGTTGGAATTATCTGGAAAAGATTAAAGAAACTATTATAAAAATGCTCTAACAAATAAACACAAATACTCTTGAAACCAATGAAAGACAGAAAATGGCAGCAAATACATAAAAGATATAGAGAAGAACCAAGTGGAAATTTTAGAGCTGGAAAACAGAATAATTGAAATTAAAAACAAATAAACAAACAAAAATCATTAGAATGGGCCCAGTAGCTGAATGAAAATGATAAAGGAAAGAATCAGTGAGCTCGAAGACAGATCAATTAAAATTACCCAATCTGAACAAAAGGGAGAAGACTTTTTTTAAAAAATGAATATAGTCACAGGAACCTGTGGGACAAAACGAAAAGAAAATGTCATCAGAATTCCAAAAGGGGAGAAGAAAGAGTGCAGACATTTTGTTGTTGTTGTTAATCAAGAAAGAATGTTCTAAGATGTCTCAAATTTGGCAAAAGACATAAACTTACAGATTCAAGGAGCTCAGCAAACTTCAACAGGATACACTTATAGGAATCCATAACCAGAGTGCTGAAAACAATAGAAAAATGGAACTATCAATAGAGAAGAAAAAATCCTAAAAGCAACAAGAAAAAATGGCATTACATATAGGGAAACAACAGTTTGAATGAATGCAAACCATGGAGGCCACAAAAAAGTGGAATTTTTTTTTCTAAGTGTCCAAAGAATTTTGTCATCCCAGAATTCTCTATCTGTTGAAAATACCCTTCAGGAATAAATATGAAAGAAAAACATTCTCAGATAAAGAAAATCTTTAAAAACTGATTGCCAATAGACCTACTCTAAAATTATTGCTAAAGAAATTTCTTCAGGCAGAAGAGAAATAATACCATAAAGATAACAGCATATCAGGAATGAAGAGTAGAAGTGGCAAATATCTGGGTTAAAAAATATACTATTCTTGAGTACTGTAAAATATGTTTGATGGTTATATTATTTTTCCATTGCTGCGGTAACAAATTACCACAACTTTGGTGGATTAAAACAACACAGATTCATATATATGTATGTATATATATATACACATATGTATATATGTTGAAAATATACATACATACGTGTATACATATACACATATGTATATATGTTGAAAGTATACATACATACGTGTATATATGTATTTTCAACATATATACATATGTGTATATATACATACACACACATATACACACACACGCACACACACGCACACATACATATATATCCTTATTTTTTTGAGATGGAGTCTCACTCTGTCACTCAGGCCGGAATGCAGTGGCACCGTCTCAGCTCACTGCAACATCCACCTCCCGAGTTCGAGCAATTCTCCTGCCTCAGCCTCCCGAGTAGCTGGAATTACAGGCAGGCACCACCAGGCCTGGCTAAGTTTTGTATTTTTAGTAGAGACAGGGTTTCACCATGTTGGCCAGGCTGGTCTCAAACTCCTGACCCCAGGTGATCCACCCACCTCAGCCTCCCAAACTGCTGGGATTACAGGCGTGAGCCACCATGCCTGGCTATATACCTTTTTTTTTTTTTTTTTTTTTTTTGAGACAGAGTCTCCTTCTGTCACCCAGACTGTAGCGTAGTGGTGCAGTCTCAACTCACTGCAATCTCTGCCTCCTGGGCTTAAGCAATTCTCCTGCCTTGGCCTCCCAAGTAACTGAGACTACAGGCATGTAACAACATGCCCAGACAATTTTTTTTTTTTTTTTGGATTTTTAGTAGAGCCAGGGTGTTATGTTGGCCAGGCTGATCTTGAACTCCTTATCTCAAGTGATCAACCTGCCTTGGTCTCCCAAAATGCTAGGATTATGGGTGTGAGCCACTGAACCTGGCCCACAAATTTATGATTTTATAAATCCAAAGGCCATAAGCCTGACACCAGACTCACCAAGCTAGAATCAAAGAATTGGCATGACTAAGCTTCACTCTGAAGACTCTAGGGAAGAATCTATTTCTATACCTTTTTTAACTTCTACAGGGTGTCTGCATTCCTTGGCTCATTGCCCCCTCCTTCAATCTTCAATCCAGCAACAGCAGGCAAAGTCTTTCTCACACTACACTCTCTCTGGTTCTCTGACTACAGTTTAGAAAGGGCCTTTGCTTTTAAGGATTTATATTTTTAGATTAGGACCCCCTGGATAATCCAGTATAGTCTCCCCATCTGAAGACCCTTTGCCTTAATCACATGTTCAAGTCTCTTTGCTATGTAAAGTAACACATTCACAGGTTCTAGGGATTAGGTTGTAGACATCTTTGGGACTCCATTCTCCTGGCTACCACAATGATTGAAAGAAAATGTTTTTAAATTATCTAATGGAGTTTTAACATATGTAGATTTAATACATAAGACAAACACAACATAAAGATATGAGAATAAAGGGACCGATATAATGGTAAGGTTTCCACATTCCAATTGAAGTAATAACATATGAACTCTAAGTAGATGATAAAAAGTGAAGTATGTATATCATAATTCTCTAGAGCACCAACCCAAAATCCTATAATATAATAAAGATATAGTTAAGAGATACAACAGGTAAAATGGAATTCTAAAAATATTTAAATAACTTGAAAGAAAGCAGGAAATAGTTAAGATAGAACAGAAAATAGAAAGAACAAAGGGAAACAATAAAATGGTAGGCCAAAATCCAAACGAGTCAATAATTGCCTTAAATACAAGTGGTCTAATCATAACAATTAAAAGACTGAACTCATCAGAAGGAATTTGAAAAATATAATCCCACTATATGTTATTAAAAAGAAATCTACTTCAAATATAATGAGGTAAGTTAAAGGTAAAGGATTAAAAATATATAAAAATATATATACTAGGTAAACATGAATCAAAAGAAAGTTGAATGTCATATGTGAATGTCAGAAAAAGCAAACTTTAGAGTACAAAAAATTATCAGGAAGAAAGAGGTACATTACAGAATAACAAAAGGGTTCACAATTAAGACACAACAATCCTAAGTATATATGCACCTAACAGCAAAGCATCAAAATGTATGAAACATTTACCTGGAGAAAGAGTAATAGAACTGAAAGAAGAAGTA